>NW_025791771.1:300000-475876 GCF_000001405.40 Homo sapiens
TCTTTGCCAGACAAGGAAAAGTGGGACTGGGGAAAAGGCCAGTTATGTGAATCCTCTTAAAATAGGGTCTAAAATTTTATAATAAAAATGTATTTTAAAAGTTTTGATTGAGACTTTGCCTGAAATGTGAAACTGAAAATTACGAAATTAGGTTTATTTTATCCTGCATTTATTCAGTGGCACTCAAAACATTGTAATTATAATTGTCAAAGATATCTTAGACCAAAGGCAAAAGATTATTTGCTTTATTAGAGTCTTTAAAATAACAGTGCCCTAACTTCTGAAACAAAAGAAGGAATTGAGTGCTGGATAGGCAGCTTTTGAATGTGAATTTTCCTACTATTTCATAAGATAACATCCTTTGCTTCATATTTTGTCTGGTTTTCGGTACAATCACAAAAGGATCATTTTAACAATGGTCACTTTTTTCTAAGGGCTTCTCTTGATCTTTTTTATTTAAATCTTTGTCTTCTGAAGCATCTTAAAGTAGTATCCAGGAGAATTTTGACTCCTTCAACAGTTAACTGATCTAACTCTGCCAGATCCAGATTTATCAGTGGTTTTGCAGTGGTTTTATCCATTTTTCAACATCACTTTCATTGATTTCATGAAAGTCTGCATCTTTTAGAGCAAGATTTCTGCTTCACTCTGTATTTGATTTGCATTGTATTGTAGTCAGATAATCAGATGTCTGCACTAGCAGTCAGGGACATTAGATAGACAGTTTGCTCACTGGTCCGCGTTCCCAGTCAGCTAAGAGTCTCATAACCATCAGCCTTGATAAATGCTAATGTTAAGTTCTCTAAGTTAAAGCCAGTGTAGGCAATGATTGGAACTTGGAAGCAATCAGAGCACAGAAGAAGCCTGGTCCCTGGAATCTCTCCCATATGCATCCTGGTGGATACCAAGTGCCTGGCAGAAGTCATAGGCAACTCCCAACCAGAGTGCTCTCCACTGACATGTTGCTTAGAGCTGGGGACAGCTTAGATTAGCCATATCTCCCCAAAATTTGTATTTTTAATTGAATTGATTTTTTAAATTGAATCCATTTTAAACATGGGATTTTATTTTTATTTAAAGAATTACCTTGTGGGTATGTCTGTGACTCTTGGATGCCTGCCTGGCTGCCAAGAAGACATGTGGCTCCATGATGACTCTGCTTTTTAAGGTTATGCCCTGGGCATGATCTGAAACCAGGAGAACAAAGTGGGTACTGGTGTTGCCTTGAATGAAGTGCTCCCCTAATGGGGGAAGCCTTGCAACCTTTATAAACTGCAGTCAGGACTGTTTTCTCTTCCTTAGTATGGATTTAAACAAGAATCATAAACACGTGAGCTTTCTCCTCATCCTCCTTTTGTTGCCTCTCCCCACCTGGGAGCAAATGCCTAGGACTTTCCAAGTGGTTCTCGGTGCCAGCAGCCTCATAAGGGAAGAGTATTATCTGAGTTCAGGTTCATCAGAAGCAGCACCCGAGATGGACTCTCATGAAGGGGATTTATTGGGGCAAGAGGAGCGAAGGGAGCAGAATGAGGAGGGGAAGAAACCAAACAGGCATGTGGGCTCAGCTGGAGTCTGCTTCACCCAGTCCTATGGGAGCTCTGGAACATTAATTGTACAACAGAGTTGGTCTTGTCTTGAGGCAAAGGGGACATCCTTGGGTACCCACATCAATCAGAGGCTACGGAATGCTTTTGGGGAAGGTGTCATAACCTCCCAGGCAAAGCGACTCCATTCAAGCTGTTGTACTTATCTAGTAAGGGGTTCTGAGTGGAGCACCACCAGCATCCACACAAGGAGTGGTACTGCTTGCCAAAGCCCATGCTCTGATACACCTCTGGGCCTCCTTGGAAATCACAGTAGTAGAAGAGAGGGGTATAGAATTAAAAACATTTGGTCAGGGCAGTTGACATGGCCAGTATAAACAGCTATGTTGGTGCTGACAGGCAGCAGAAGGGTAATCCATGACATCCCTTCCTGTAACACCATCCCGGAGCACATGAGTCATGAACCATAAGCTCAGCTCTCTTGTTCCTAGAGATGATGTCTTTGGTTTACTCTTTTGGCCTGTCCTCACCAAGATCCAACCAGAATTTTGAAATTTTTATTTGACTGAGTAAGGTGGAAGAGAGACCAGAAATAGTTAAATAAATGCTGATATAAATGTTACGTTCTAGCATTTGGGAATTAACAAAAATAAGGTAGCTGAGCAGCTTTTGAATGATCAAAAGTACTGTTGTCTTAGGTCAAAGCTAATTAAACTGAGGTTTCCTCGAGTTCCAGAGTACATTTTTGAAGACATTTATTTCACACATGCAAAAACTGAAGAAGTCTTTGGGGCAATAAATCTTTTTGATTTCTTTTTTTTTTTTTTTTTTTTTTGAGACAGAGTCTTGCTCTGTCACCAGGCTGGAGTGCAGTGGTGCGATCTCGGCTCACTGCAACCTCCACCTCCCAGGTTCAAGTGATTCTCCTGCCGCAGCCTTCTGAGTAGCTGGGACTACAGGCATGCACCACCACACCCAGCTAATTTTTATATTTGTAGTAGAAACAGGGTTTCACCATGTTGGCCAGGATGGTCTCAATTTCTTGACCTCGTGAACCGCCTGCCTCGGCCTCCCAGAGTGCTGGGATTACAGGCATGAGCCACAGCGCCCAGCCAATAAATCTTTACTTCAAGAACAGACCTTTGACTTAAAATTAAAGCTTCTCTCCTGGTTTGAAAGGAATTCCCAGTGAGGTATTGGGCATTACAAGAGAAACTGGAAACAGAGTTAGGTAAGCATGTAATATATGTATATGTGTATGTGTGAGATACACACACACACATACACTTATATATATTTGCTTATCCTGGGACACTCTTGAGACTAATTATACCAGAATGACAGAAATGAACCAGGACCGTCCCCAGGAAACCAAGAGAACTAAAGTCATCCAAGACTTTGGCTTGCTGCCTCTGATGTCCACAGGCCAATTAGCCAGGATTTAGGGTAGTGTCTACTTGGGACAGTTGTGGGTGTTGCTTCTGGCAGGAGGAATATGAGGAAGAAGATGGTAGGGAAAGGCCATCTATGGTGAATCATTAATGCCATGCAGTTCTTGAGACAGCATTTGAGAAATTATTCTCTGGTTTTCCTTATTGAAATTGCCAATGCCTGTTCTCTAGGTTCTAAGAGCAGCCCTCACACTTGCCATCACACAGCTATGTAAACACCTATGTCTCTGCTGGGAGGTCCCCACCTCTTCTGAACTCTGAGCTCTACGAGGACAGCGATTAACATCTCTCAGATATGTTCTCTCAGTGCTGAAATGTGGTGTGTGATACGACAACTCAGCTACCCAGTGCATGCTCAGGGCGCGTTCTGAATCCTGTGCCATTTGCATGTTACATACATGAGCTTGCCATCCATGAGTGTTTGGGGACAAGACAGAGGAAGAAAACCTTGGGGGAAGGGCTAAGGAAAGGTGCTCCTTGACAGTGAGGACAACTTAAACAGAGGTGTGAACATAAGAGCAGGCAGGGTGTGTGTAGAATAGTAGCATATACGTGCCACGGGGCAGGGGTGGAAGAACCACAACAGAACAGGATGGGCCAAAATGGAAGCTGGGATCTTAAGATTTGAGACTTTATTCTGTTTGCAGTGGGGACAGACATATTTTAAGAAGCTTCCTCTGGCAGCCAGCCAAATGGACTGAAGGGGAAGGAAAGCTCATAGCAGCAGCTACCAAACATCATTATCCGGCAGAATCACTAATTTTATCACTCAATAATTTTATGTATTAAAAATGCTCATCCCAGACCCTGCAGTCTCTGTGTCTACTCAGAAAAGACTCATGCTGTGCAATTAGAGTGTGGCCCAGGAATCTGCATTTTATTTATTTATTTATTTTTTAGACGGAGTCTCGCACTCTCGCCCAGGCTGGAGTGCAGTGGCACCATCTCTGCTCACTGCAAGCTCCGCCTCCCGGGTTCACGCCATTCTCCTGCCTCAACCTTAAAGAGGCTCCCAAGGTGATACTAACGCTGGCGATCCTGGGTCTCTGTGTGAATAACACTGGCTAAGAGCACAGAGAGATGTTAGAAAACTAATCATCATTGAGATCAGTTATATCCGAGACTGGATGCTGAAAAGATATATTAGAGTTTAGTTTTATATTTATATATCTCTTATCTTTTGTTTAATTGTATTTGGGCTTTTAGGGGTTTTGTTTCATTGCTATTTTCTAAGTAAGAGTGTATTGATGTTTAACAAACAAACAAAAATATACAAGTTATTAAGTTCCCAGCTCAATGAACTTTCACAAAATGATCAAACCTGTGTAACCTGCACTCAGAACTGCCTTCCACTTATTCCATAATTACTGTCTTGATTTCTAGCCCCATAGATTATTTACCTTTTATCACCTTTATTTTTGGTGCATTTGATAATGTTCATAATATATTAGAATAATAAGATATGTATAATTGGATAATTTAAGTAGATATATTATGGTAAATGCTCACATGTTTTTACCAGTTGGACACAAAATAAAAATGTTTTTCATCCACCTGTCTAGATGCCTTGAAATGTTAGTCTGAGCTGAGATGTGAGTCCTGGAAATTGGAGGACCTCTGTACCTTCTCTTCCAAAATCTGTAAACATACTGTTTCCGCTTGGCAGTCTTGATTTGCTTTCAGTGACTCTGAGAAGCCCTGTGGTTTGTGAAGAGCCTCTTGGCTTTCCTTTGACCTTGGTTGGAAGCCATGTGCCCAGGTGGAAAGACAGCAGTTCCCTACAGCCTTTCTCTTCTGTTTCTCTCAAGTCGCTGTGTGCAGAGTCCAGCCTAAGCTGGCTACACTTGGAAACCTCTCCTCACCCTTGTACCCTCCCCACACCCTGGGGAGACTTGCTGGTGGACAGCCCAGCCCTCACTGCTTCAGGCTTTAGGAAGAAACCCTCTCTTTTCTTGGTGTGATTTTCTTAGAGTTTGTCTTTCCTGAACCACCAAGATCTGAAAAGGCAGGATTAGGGTGTGGGCTTAGGAGAAAGGGGCCAAGAAGATGACAGGGTTGCCTTTTCATCCAAACCTTAGGAGGTCTCCAGCTCAGCCATGGCCCAGCCCACCTCACCAGGACTGCCCTAGGGTTTGAACCCAAAGCATTAGTTAGGAATGAAGAGTGGTTTTGTCCTCTTACCTGTCTTCCCAGGGAACCCATGAAAAAGTGGGCAGCTGGAAGGGGGCTGGAGACGGCCTGGTCAGGGCATCTCGTCCCACTGGTGCCTACCGTCTGAGCACTGCTCTGAAGGACTCGATTGCCCCGTGGAGCCTGCTCCCACACACCTGCCTTTTGTGCAGCCGGCCCATCTGTTGGTGCTTTTTCTTTCAGGAGGAGATGGGCATCTCCTGTGAGCTGCTGGAATCGGACTTCCTCAAATGCAGCGTGGGATTTCCTTTCATGAGGTCAAAGTCAAAGGTAAGGGACACAGACGGGACCCTTCCTCAGCAGCAGGCCCCCAGCCCTTCCACCAGCCACTGATTCCGCCGCCTCCCTGAGGTGAGGAGTCCTCCCACCCCCTGCCTCCCATAGCAGCTGGGGCGGCCACTGAAGCCCTGACATGCTCCTGTCCCTGGCTGTGTACACCGGGGTATACTCCGGAGGGGCTGCATCATATGGTCTTTCTCTTCGATTCACATGATGTACCCCAAATGTGAAAGTGAAGGACACACCACAGCCTCTGCACTTTAGCACGTGCCATTTAGTTGACCTTCCTAAAATAATTTTTTTTCTGAGACATTCTGTGCCTCTTTGAGTCCCCTAGACAACACAGAAGAAGATGTGGTCTGTCACCTATAGTCCTGTCATTCCCTTGGGTGCTCACAGTTTTCTGAAGAGAACTCTCAAAATTCTCAAAACATAAATACCTGTATCCCACTTCATTTTTAAGAAGAGTAAAGAAATTAAGTCACTTTGGTATTGGTATGGAGACAGATTTTCTAAGTTCAAATAGTATACTACAGCATCTTCAGACATTCATGGAACATTGTAGTATGTGCCATCATTATAAGGAGATACAAACATAGGTAAAAAGATGTGGTGATTGGAGGCAAAACTAGAATCTAAAAGACCAAGTCTGCCTTTGGAAATGGAAGCTATTTTCCCTGCCATGAACAGAGTGAGACTCCGTCTCACAAAAAAAAAAAAAAAAAAAAAAAAAAAAAGTGAAAGCTTCATCCTTTTCTCCTGCCTGGGTCATACACTCAGATCATTTTAATCTCCAAGGCTCTTTGGTCCCAGTATCTAGTAGCTATTTGTAAACCAATGGTGAGAATATTCTGGTGAGGGAGAAGACTTGGTCATTTCTTAGCAAATCACTTGAACCCATAAGCCCCATTGAATGCACCTCGATCTTGGACTTTCCAGCCTTCAGAACTGTGAGAAATAAATGTTTAAACCACCCAAGCTAGGGTAATTTGTGATAGAATCCCAAACTGACTAGGGCAAAAAGGTAATAACTTTCTCACTGTTAGGGTCAATGTTGTTCAGTGCTGTGTTCACATATCACCCAAGATAATCTCATGAACCACCTAAAATAATCTTAGTGTACCACTCCCAGTGTGAACATCCTGTGATTTGGGTAACACTGCCCCAAACAAATGGTGTTCACCATATACATATCAGGCACGTGTGGGAATGTGGGAGGAACCCCTGGGTAGGGGTTATAGGACCAGGCTCTACCACAAACTGTGTGATCTTGGCGAAACCACAGTGGCCAAGTGGCCAAGTGGCCCATGACTCCTCGGATTTTTTTCTGCCTCTCTTCCTCATTCTGTCCACATTCACCCCAGGAGGAGGGAAACCTCAATAAGTGTCTGCCCTTGGAAAATGGATTACATGTGGATGGCAGAGTACAGGCCAAGTCCCATTAGACTCCAGGTAGGGTGAGGGTGGAGATAAAGGAGGACGACCACAATCCATGGACACTATTGCCTATAGTAATGTATGTGGCACATCTGCACACAAATTTAATTAAAATCTTTTGAGTAACAGATAATAGGCTTAACTGGAAAACTTGCAACAGTTTCCATTTCATTTTAAACTCCAGCCTATATCACATATCAGACCTAAGATGTGTCTTTCTCTCTCTAGTGGAGTGTTACATTTTGTCAAATTTTTGTTTGTTTGAGAGGGAGTCTCTCTCTGTCGCCCAGGCTGGAGTGCAGTGGCGCAATCTTGGCTCACTGCAACCTCCGCCTCCCAGGTTCAAGGGATTCTCCTGCCTCAGCCTCCCTGGTAGCTGGGATTACAGGTGCCCACCACCATGCCCAGCTAATTTTTTGTGTGTTTTTAGTAGAGACAGGTTTCACTGTGTTGGCCAGGCTGGTCTTGAACTCCTGACCTCAAGTGATCTGCCCACCTAGGTCTCCCAAAGTGCTGGGATTACAGGCGTGAGCCACCGTGCCCAGCCAACATTTATTAGATAGAGCCCACAGAAGTATGAACATTGGAATGTTGGTTGTTTTCCCAGCTGGTAATGCTACCACTTTCCTCCCACATACAGATGCTGGGACCTGAAGCAAGACTGACTAAACCTGGGGATTGGGGGGCATGGGAGCAGAGGGTGATTCCCTGGAGAAAGCCCAACAAGTCACCCAGCAGAGACGGGGCTCCCCGTATCCGCAGCCCAGCGTGCACTCCCATGTCCTTCCAACCCTGAGGGTCCTCAGGCTCCAGGCCACATGCTAAGCCTCATGGCTATACTTTGGCTTACCTTGGATGGCCATGTATTTCTCTCTCTCACAGCCTGCCCAGTTTCTGACATTCTGTTCTTCCAGGCCTCCATCCCTGATTTTGGCTTCTCACCCAATTCTTTTGCCTGTCATCTCACTGTGCTCTTTAATGTTTTTAATTTAATTCAGATCTCCTCCCAGTGCTGACTCTACACCAGTCAAGACCCTGCCTCTCTCTTCCTTCTTGTCCTCTTCCCGCCCTGTCTCCATGCCTGCCCCCCACCCCACAGTAAGCTGACCAGTCCCACAGCAACAGAAATTTCTGTCTAGAAAGAGATGTCCATGTTCACTGTAGATGATGGTCCATTGTAATGGACCAATGTCCGTTGCTTTCAGGAAACATTCAGTAGAATTCAGTGTTGCAAATATTAGACCATTGCCTAGAATTCACCATAATGGAACCCAAAGGTTTAGACATTGTATAAGTTATAGGCTCTCAAAATTTGATGAAATTTAAGAACCGTTTTGTCCAACCTCCTTTTTTTATTGAAATGCAAAGACAGTATCTTAGCCAAGATCACAGTCAGTTTGTGGTGGAACCTGGTCCTGTGACCCCTACCCAAGGGTTCCTCCCACATTCTCACACATGCCTGACATGTATATGGTGAACACCATTTACTTAGGGCAGTGCCCCCTACTCACAGGATGTTCACCACTAAGTGGTACACTAGATAATTTTAGATGGTTCATGAAATTATCGTGGGTGATACGTGGACGCAGCACTGAACAACATTGACCCTAACAGTGACCCTTTTCACCTTAGTCAGTTCAGTCATCTATAACAAATTACCCTGGGCTGGGTGGTTTAAACAACAGACATGTATTTCTCACAGTTCTTAAGGCTGAGAAGTTCAAGGTCATGGTCCCGGCAGATTCAGTTCCTGGCGAGAGTTCTCTTCCTGGTTCATAAACAGAACCTTCTCTATGTGTGCCCATCTGGCTTTCCCTTGGTGTGTGTGCATGGAGAGAGAGAGATCTCTTTGTCTTCTCTTCTTCTGAGTGCACTAATTCCATCATGAAGGCCTCACCCTCATCTAAACCTAAGTACCTTCCAAAGACCCCATCTCCACATACCATCACATAGGGGGGTTAGGCCTTCCACATATTAATTTGAGGAGTGGCGGGGGGACACAAACATTCAGCGCATAAGACTTTTCAATAGTCTTCCAATCCTAGCCACACTCAGGAGAACGTCTCCAATCCTGCTAGCACATCTTTAACACTTCTCTATCACCAGCAAATCTCCCTTTTCAACAAAGATGGAGTAGACCTTAGGCTCAGAGGCTTCCAAAGGCAACAGAGTTCAGCATTGCTCTGTTTTCATTGTGTTCATTTTTACAACTACCTTCTCTTTTTGGCAAGTGATCCTGGATTCCCATCTATGACAGTGATATAAATTGTTCTTTTAAAACAATCTTTAAACTAAAAGAGTAAGGCAACAAAAATATGAACAAATATCCCAGGTGATGTAATTTGCAGATGTGGCAGAAATTGAAAAGATGGTATGTGAGTGAAACTTAGAAAGTCCCGGTTAAAGAGTGTAAACGCATCACTTCCTAAGGAGAGCCTCGGTGGCGGAACAGGAGCAGCAGGTCTCTGGCCAGAGTATGTGTCAGGCTTGGTTTTACTGTTAAAGCTGTGACTTTGGCCTGACAGTCAGAAAGCTATACATAAAACTAAAGCTTATCATGCAAATGAGCTTCCAGAGGTCATAAACTGCAGAAGATGGAAGAGAACAGTTTAAGTTTGGAATGCCTGCTGATGCCAAATACCACTTCCTTTTTCACTAGTATGAATTCAGCGTGATCTTTGATACAAGCCACCTGTCTGGGGAAGAGGAAGTTCTCAGCTTCATTGTTACTGCTCAGAGGTAAGGGGGGGGTTTAAACACTTTTTTCAAAGATGAGAGATTTATGGGACCAGGAAAGGATGTGTCCTGGTTAAGCTTTGATGAATCCCAGGATGCTGAGGAGGAAGAAATGGTTACTCAGTGATAAAGCCTTGAGCCGCAAAGTGGAATTGGATTTCTTGGGGATGGTGGTTGCCTAGTGCTGCTTGCATAGCCGCCACTGCAGATTGAACTGAGAGGAACTGGGCATCAGCCACTCAGAGGTGATGATTCTACAGCTGAGGAGAGACAGGCCCAGGGGGGTGAGGCTCTAGTCCAAGGTCAGTTCCCACTTGGCTGTGTATTTCCCAGATCAGACAGATGTCCTCTGCAAATTGTCTGGCTGGGCCCACTGCTGCTTTTGGACATGGTGCTGTATCCCTTGATGGAGTGGGCAGGTCACCTGCAGCCTGAGGGCCTGGCTGAGCCTGTTGGCAGAGGCCCCAAGAGATGCTACTCAAGAGAGGGCTTAATTTGGAAGCCAAGTGGATGGATAGGAAAGGGGATCGTGGGGTGGCAGCTTCTCCCCTCAGTAGCATGTGCCCGCCCCTCTCCAGGATAGCCATGAGTGCCTGTGGGGGCTTCTGGGGAGTTACAAGATGCCTTCTCCAGGGCAGATCCAGCATGCCTTGAAGCAGCATCTAGGTAGCACTTGGCTGGCAGCTCCAGTGGAGGGAGGGGCGTTCAGGTGGGTGAACAGGGAGACACAAGCTTTGATTGGGGTGGTGGTTGGACACCCAAGGCAACCTTTTCATTTTCACTTGGAAATGATCTTAAACTTAACAGAAGTCTTACAAGAATAGTGCAAGGAACTCCTATATACCCTTTACCCAGATTCACCCAGTGTTAACATTTTGCCTCATCTATTTTATCATCCTCTTTCTATATAATTTTTTTTGTTAACCATGTGAAAGTTGCAGAAATCATGCCTCTTGATTCATAAATACTTCAGTGTGCATTCCCAAGAATGAGGCTGTTCTCTTAATAAACTGTAGTATAGTTATCACATTCAGGAAATTGAACATTGACACTATGCTATTAGCTAATCCGCAGTTTATGTTCTGATTATGCCAGTTATCCCAATAATGTCTTTTTAGCCGCTTCTTTTTACTGGTCCACAAGACTTGGTTATTTTCTATTGACACTATTTTCAAGATCACATAATTTACATCACATAAAACATGACTGTGATCTAATAGAAGCCTATGCAAAGCATAGATAGGGTAGACTTCATTCCCATTGCACAAAATCCAGAAGGGCTTCAGTGGGGAGGTAGCATTTAAACAGAGGAGTCTGTTTTCAGGCTGAAGCAACATGGGCACGGCAGTGAGGCTGTCCATGGGGCAAGAAGCCCTGTTACACCTGTGTAGGTGGTGGGCACGAGAGTGTACTGGGGATTCGTGCACCTTCTCAGAAGAAGGATGGGGAGCACACAAGCACAGTGGGAATGGGGCTGAAAGAGGAGCCTGGGCGCTAAACCATGGGGGACAAAGGTCACCTAGAAAATCTGAACTATATCCTGATGGCACTGAGGAGCCACTGAAAGTTTTTGAAAAGGGGAGTGGCACAGTGCAACAGCTTGGCCCCAGAGCATGAGGTTGATGAATTTGATAAGGGGCGGCAGATGCCCATTCAAACCTGAAAATTCTCATTCTCTTGCCATTTCTTGGATCCACAGAACACTCGCCATTGTTGGGCAGACCCATCAATGTGCTCTCTTGGTCCTTCCACACCTGAGGCAGCCTGTATGCCTGGGAAGGAATGTGACATGGAAGAGATTTCCCTTGTCAAAATAGAAGACACTTCCTGCCTCCACCTAATTCAGGGCTAATCATAACAGTCAGAGAGGGCAGGGAACCAGTATTGCAATTGTGAAAGGTTCATTTGTTAGAATAACATGTCCACACAGCAGCAGTGCTCTGGTTTTGGATGCATATTAGAATCGCCTGGGGAGCTTTCAAAAATATCGATGCCTGATCTATCCCCAGAGACCCTGACCCTGCCTCTGCCTGGGGTGAGACCTGGGCAATGGAGTTTTCAGAAGGGCTCACCAAATGATTCTAATGAGCAGCCAAGGCTAAGAACCACTATTTATAATCCCTTACTCTGTGCTGGGCACATTTTCACTCAGTAAATATTTATTGTGCACCTTATATTTACCAGTTGCAGTGCTAAATGCTGGGCACATGAGAAAATGACAGTAACCTACTAAATTCAAGAACACCCCCTATGTACATTAACAGTGCTGCATAGCTTCAGGAAGCCCTAGGATCTGTAGCTTCAATAATATAAAAATTTCTAGTTTCTTAAATCACAAATGTTAAGATGACCATATTATCTTCTAAGCACACACCAGAATATTTCAGATGCTCATTTCTTTTCAGGCATTGGTGAAGATATGGTCTGACTGCCCCGGAGGGCACCCACACACAGCGCTTGACTCCCTGCTATGACGGAAAGATCCTTAAAGCTCCTTATCTTGAAAACTACAGTTAAAATCTCAATTGTTCCTTTCTTCCATCACCACCCTTTGAAGGTCTCTTTGCCTACTTGTAGATTTAGGGGGACATAACATTGAGACTGAGCAGTTTCTTGAACCTCTCCTCTCAGCAGCCACCAGCCTGGCTTTTGCAGACCACTGGAAAGTATCCCAGCTCATTAGCTTTTGGAATGACGGGAAGCCTTTTGATGTTTGACGTCTTTATCTCAACTCTTCAACTTAGCTCATTCTGGAGCAGTCACACGATGACAGATGAGACGGTTGGGCCTGAGCCGGCCAAACAAACGGCAGGGCAAGACCTGGCAGGATGCTGGGGTGGGGGCGGGAGTGGGCCAGGATGGTGTTAACCCATCCACAGGGGAGTCGCCTTTGGCCTGCCCACAGCAGTGATCCCAAGGCTTTTGTCACCCCTTGGGAAAGGAAGGACAAGGAAGTCAGGCTGTGTGGGCACCTGATCCTGCTGCTTTTGCAAACTGTGGATGCCCCTGAGGGACTGATGTCACCCCATGTAGGAAGACAGATGAGGAGCCAGGGCAGAGACTGTGGCCCTATGGGGTCAGCGTCACACAGCACCATTGTTTCAGAACAATAGGAGGGAGAAGGAGAGGGGATGTGAGAGCTATTTAAGTGCTGTTGCCATTCAGCACTTGCTGGTTGAGAGAGGAAGGCAGTGGGGCAGGGCTTGGAGGGGGCAGAGAGAGGGCACAGAGCAGACAGGGACTCAGCAGATGTTCAGGGAACGGCGTGGTGGGGAACAGTCAGGATGAGCTGAGCCAGCCTCAGCAGGTCTAGGGGACTCTTTTCTTCCGCCCATGCAGGGTGAACTTGGGAACCAACTGTGAATGTAGGTTCAAGAACATGTACCCAAGAGCCACGCATTTTCCCAAGGAATAATGATCACAATTCCTATTAGAAATTTAATAAAGTAATAAAGGGAAACTAGGTCTTCTCTCTCTTCCTCCTGTTCCTTCTCCTCCCTTCTTCTTTTGCTCCTCTTCCTTCTCGCTCCCAAATCTGGCATCAGGAGCAGGAGTCACAGCTGAGAGAGCCCTAGTTTGAAGTCTGACTGAGCTGGTTGGAATCTCAGCTCTGGTTTGCAGGGGGGCCTTGGGCAGTTACCTGATTTATCTGACTTGCTCCTTACCTGTCAAAGGTGGGTGCTCCATCTCCCTCTGGGGTTGCTCTGAGGTCTCAGTGAGGCCATGCTGAGAAATGCCCGGCATAGTGCCTGGCACATAGTAGCCACTTAACAGCATCAATTCCCTCATGTTCACCTTTCCAGAATGATCTCACAAGAATCCCCGTTCTGTGCTTTCTCACCCGGAGGCCTTATGTGGATGTATTTTAGAATCACCTGGGGAGCTTTCAAAAATATCGATGCCTGATCTACCCCCATAGACTTGCTATAGCCAGGGTCTATAGCGAGAGCTTCCATGATGTTTATAGTGGTAGGTTTGGTCAGGGCCTCTTTCCTGGGCTTGGCTGTCCATGGATGATGGGTGGTCCTTTCAGGTGAGACATAGCTGCTGAAGTCTAGCAACTCCTTCCTGGCTGCAATACCCTAACTTCATTGGTCCATTGTTCGTGGAACAGGCACTTACACAAGTAGCACACACAGTAGGTGCCCTGCCCATAACCCCTCAGCCCTCACCCTTCCCAATCTATCCGCAAACTGGGCAGATTCCGGCTCCCAGCACCAGCCACCCTGCTGAGGCTTTCTCTGGCCAGAGCCCACTCACTTGCCTGACAGGCAGGTGCCAGGGGGTTCATTCCACCCCACCCCCACCCCCAGCAGCAGCAACAGCAGCTCTCAGGAGTCAGTGGATAAAGGCCTGGCTCCCATGCCCTCAGCTAGGAAGACTGACTCTGCCTCACAGAGTCCCCGCGAGACTGGGCCCTGGCTGCCGACAGCACGACCCTCCTGTATGGCATGCCTTTATTGTCTCCTTTCCTTTGCTCTCTCCCTTCTCCACTCTCCAGTCCTACTGGCATTTCCTGGGGCCACCTCTCGAATAAACTACTTACACTCAAATCTTTGTGTGGAACACAACCAAGACAATAGAGTGCCCTTGATAGATATGTACAGGGACCAAAAACAGACTGAAGGCAATGAGGTGCCATCTGCCCTTGGAGAATGTAGAGATTCAACTCTAAAGTGGAACAGAGAAAGCCCACTGCTGGACAGCTAGTGTTGGCCAGCGTTCATTCATTCTCCTCTCTCTGCACAGTGGCAACACGGAGCGCTCTGAATCCCTGCATGACAACACCCTCGTGCTGATGGTGCCACTGATGCACGAGGTGGACACGTCCATCACCGGGTGAGTAGCCTGGTCCTGGGTTGCCACAACACAGGAGTGCCCTCCAGTGGAACACTGTGCTTCTCATATTTGCATGTGTAGCCAGCCAGGAGCCAAGGGCTGTGCCACCTCCACTTCCTCCCAGCCTTGAAAAGCAGGATGAAGCTTTAGCTGCAGTAACTCATACACTCCTCCCTCCTTGTTTTCTCCTCTGTCCCACCTACCCACCCACCTGGTAGATAATCTGAGAAGTTTGATGACAAGTTTAAGCCCCATAATTTCTTTGAACATTCCATATACCTTTATGTGCATATATTCTCATCCGCCCCTAGTCCCTCCAGAATGCTGTATGGTAACAAGCAGCATGGCTCCTGGGATTAAAATCTCAGCTGGAAGTTGCTGGGCCAGAGATTATCACCAGATGTGTCTCCAGTCCTGGCTCACAGGAGGACCACTTTCTGATTAGCTCCACAGGCAGTGCTGGCTTTGCTTGTTTCTGTTAACTCCCTCTGCAGAGCCAGAGGTGGCTTTTCCTGATGTCTATAATGGTCTGGAATGGGCAGGGAACCATCCCATCGGCCACACTGTCTGTCTGGGTCAAGTCCACGGTCATTCAGTGCCGCTGGCATTGTTGGAAAGCAGGACCCTGGGCTGCAGTCTGTGGAGACCTGAAACAACCTGTGTCAGTTTTCAACCAAAGCCCCAGCTTGGAAAAATGAGAACTCCATTTCTTTCCAGCTTCAGAAAACAGAGTGCATACCTCTTTGATAGTGGAAAAAAGATTTACACAATTAGTTTAGATCAGGTGAGGACCCACTGAACCCTTGACCCAAATGCAAGCTGAACTTTCTGGAGGTTCACAGTTTCTAATTTTTCGGTTTTCAAGTGCTTCTGGGTCTCAGCCTTGATTAGCAGTAGAAATGTTGATCCCTTGCAGGGAGAGCCATCCCTGCACTAGCCCGCACTGCTGGGAGCCAGTGGAATGAGTCTCCAAGCATTCCTGCTCCTGAGCTTTTGGCATTTTTGGTCATGTTTTTTAAACATGAGGTACTGATGGAATATATTTGCAAATTAGCATATTTTTGCCTCTGTTCACAGCTCTATTTTTAACTGTATCATTTATTTACTTGTCTCATCAAAGGCACAGCAAGAATATACCCAGAACCAAGCCCTATCCTTGGGGACAAAGAGAAAACATTCTCCCCACCACCCCCAGACACTTGATCATGTAATCAGTCCTTAGAGGACCTTGTTGGGAGGTGTTAACAGCCCCTGATGAAGCCATCAGTTAAACAAATGAGTCAACCTCTGATCTCTCCAGGAACCTAAAACAGCTCTTGCCATTTGGTAATGCTGGGAACTCACTACCTTACTAAAATAATGCACTAAACATTGAAAATGGATGAGTTGTTGTCTATTCGGACTTAGTCTCAAAAATCTGCCATTGTTGTGTTTAGGTGAGTGAGTGGCCTCCAGCATCTAGAAGTCGATATTTGTCTGGGAGTGTCAGTCAGAGCTTTGTTTCTTCTCAGGAATGTGTTCATATAAGCAACATTGAAAGCATTGCTGCAAACTGAGCTTGAATTCTTCTCACCTCTTATGTAGCCTCCGAAATCCAAGGGAAAATGCTATCAATGAACGGATTCAGCTTTCAAATGCCTAACTTCTAGTCATCTTGGCAGTCTGATAAATTTAAGTTTTTTAAGTGAATTTGTCATAGAGTGGGGTTTAGGATGCCAAATACATAACTCATTTATATTTATTTTTTAAAAGCTTATGATCATCTTCTTCAACCCATAAAACATTTTTCGAATGACAAAACAGAAAATGTATACTTTTATAATCCAGTTTTTAAAAAGTCAAAGCTATGATAATCTTGTCATTTCAGAAAGGTAATCCCAGTGCATATTTCTCCATGCAGCTTATTGACGTAACCTAAGATGAGAAGACACTACTATTCATGCCTGGTCAGAAAGCACAGACTGGCTATGTAACAGCCCCAGCAGGGAAGCACTGGGTGCAAGACACTGGATTAAATTGAGACAAATGTTTGCTTCTCAGAATGGCAGTGACCATGGGTGCTTGACTGTGGGTGGGGATGACAGATTTCATGCTTTCCTCTTTCAGAATCATGTCTCCAACCTCCTTTGTATATGGCGAGTCCGTGGACGCAGCCAACTTCATTCAGCTGGATGACCTGGAGTGTCACTTTCAGCCCATCAATATCACCCTTCAGGTACCCACTCCTGGAGACCTCCTCTGTCCGTGGGGGCTAACGGAAGGGCACATGGGATGTCTCTCCTACAGAGGGCTAAGCTCTTGTCAGGAGAAACCCTTCTGTGGTTGGCTGGTGTGGTGTGTGTGTGAGATCTGTAACCACACACAGAATGAATCCTTTTCGATGCCTGGTACTCTGCTGTGCAGGCCCCTCTGCTTTTTCAGGATTTGGAAGGACAGGTCCACGTCATGAATGCCAGTTTTCCCCAAGAAGCCCTCTGTGTGGTGGAGGCCTCAGCCAATGTCCCAGCCCAGATGACCCCATGAGGACCCCTTTCTGTTCTCCATCATTCCCCACCTTCTGGGCAGGGCTGCCTCAGAGGATTTGCTGTGTCCCTTCCTCCTGAGATTTTCTTGCCAGCTCATCCAGGAGCCCACTCCTCCTGCAGGGGAACAGCCTTTCGGAAGGGCAGTTTTATAAGAACAGAGGAGTGTGAGCCCCTGTGAGCCCCCACGGGAGGCACGCTGCTCCCTCACTGAGCCATGGCTGGCTTGCCCAGGCACACAGGCATCATTTCCAGCAAGTCCACTTGGTGTAGACTGTGGACCTCATGAAGGACACTGTTTCTTCTCTTAGTTGGGGGTCAGCAAACTTTTTCTGAAAAGAGCCATGGGGTAATTTAGGCTTTGTGGGCCATTTGGCCTCTGCAGCATCTATTCAACCATACTTCTGTAGTTCAAAGGCAGCCATAGATAACACAGAAACAAAATTTTAGTTCCTTATAGACAATGAAATTTGAATTTCGTATAATTTTCACATCATGAAATGTAGGCCCAAGCGAGAAAGGATATCCTGAAGGTCCCAGAGCTGGGAGAAGCCGGGCTGGGGCCAAGACCTGGCGGCACTGGCCGGACCCTGTGTGGATGAAGTGAAGGAGATGGGCCCAACTCACCCATAGGACACAACAGTCCATATCTCCTCACTCTCTGGTTCTACCTCCCAGAACTCTTCTCTGCCTCTTGCGTCCTTCCCCATGGAGAGATGGTTTCCCACTCTGGCATTCACTGCTGTGGCTAAATAATAATTATTTTCTTTCCTTGTGGCCTCTCCTAGGTGGACTTAGGGGATGACAAATAATGACAGGGTGAGGGTCTAGAGAATGTGGCAGTAAAACATTTGTGGGCTCTGACAAACAATGGTCTTCCTCTCCCCAGAGTATTCTCCCAGCAACAGACTGCGAAACCATGATACATAACACATGTCCCCAGCTCACAGAGGATGTGCCTTCTGACCAACTAAGCCCCTGCTGTCACACCCTGCTCTTGATTTACAGGGGAGAAAGGGAAGGATGGGGTTAGAGCTTGTTTTTGAGACAGTAGAGTGATTGCTGTGAACAGCACCTCTGCATTTCTGAATTGCTTCTCAGAGTTATTTTATTTTTCTCCTTTGCTTTTCGTAATTGGGTAGGAAATAGATAAAGACCTGATGGGTTTATTTCATCTTAGTTGTTTCTACTCTTTCCTACTCTTATAGTTTTGGGGGTGTCTTGCAATTAAAGATGTAGTTCAGAAAATTATTTAGAAGGGTTCAAGTAACACAGACCATGTAATGAAGAGGGTATGAGTGTTGAAAGAAGGAAAAGAAGAACAGGGGTTGCACAGAATATACCAAATGTTCTTATCACCCTCTGGGGAACAAAAGAAAGAAATCTGAGGGTATGCAGCTTATCCTTCCAGTTGTTTCTCTGAAGGTAATTTTTACAGTGAGTTTAAAGTTTGGTATTCAGGCAAATAGTTTTCTTCACATCTGACCTGAAATAGGACTCAGGCTAGAGAATCCAGCCCTGGGGAATGAGTGATTGGCATGTCCCTTAGATAAACTCCTCCGTGATCCATTGCCTCAGGAAGTGCACAGCATTCAATCCAGGGTTGAGAG
The DNA here is from genome assembly GCF_000001405.40 of Homo sapiens. Taxonomy (NCBI): domain Eukaryota; kingdom Metazoa; phylum Chordata; class Mammalia; order Primates; family Hominidae; genus Homo; species Homo sapiens. The sequence continues at coordinate 318,609 of NW_025791771.1, forward strand.
AGTTGGGTCTGAAAGATTGATAGTGTGTGCCATTGATTAGAAGGAGATCCTTCTGTGCTAGCAAAGCCCACTTTTTCCTTGAGAATTGTCTGACTACTTATTTATTGGTATAATGGTTGTTATTGTGGTTGTCCTGCAGGAAGGTCACTAACCAGCTTGGCAGTGATAATGACCAGAAGGTGAAAATACTGTGGAAGGAGGCCAGGAATACGGAGAAAATGTTTCTATATTTCCTTATTCCAGTAATATTGTTCCTGAAGGAGAACATAAGACTTTCCATATGAACAGATTTTTCTATGCTTTTAAAAATCGGTTATTCAACAAGCTACATAATTGTTTAAAGGCTCCACTGCCATTGTACACAGGAGAAAGGCAGAAATACTAGTCTTGGGCCTGCTTTTTACATTTCATCATAGTTTTTAAACAGACACATTAATTTCTCGACAATAAGAGGCTTTTTTGGCATCAAAATTTAAAGCATTTCCCCACCTGAAAAACAATGGCCAAAAATAATGCAGATATTACACATGAACATTTGCAGAGAATCCAGTATAAAGACATTTGTTAAAAATAAAGATGGTAATACAAGCTCTCCTGTCCTCCTGGCTCTGATGAGTGAAATAGTGCAAATCAGCATCCTTTTCTTCATTGCTTACCCCATTCATGCTTGAAATGGGATTTCCCAGACATGCCAGGATGTTTCTTTTTAATTCTGTGCACTCATGTTTCACTTCAAATTAGTTATTTCAGCTATGGTCAGATATTCCTTCCTTTTCTATGTCTTCAGGTTGTTTGGTGAATATTGTTCTTTTTTGAATCAGGAGTTGGCAACCCACTCATCTGCTCTATCAGTTTTTATCTATTTATTCTTTGAAGTGGAACCAACTATTGCAGAAAACCAAAGACACAGTTTTCTAGGGAAGAGCTAGCTGGAGCTAGATCTTCATACATCCTGTCATGTGTGAAGACCTGGTAAGATTTCTGGCTTTTTGTTGGCTCTGCCCTTCTGACCTCAACTTCAGAGTTGCAGATTCCCTGGATTCTCTCTCTAGTGCCCAGGCCACCAAGCAGCATGTCATTCCTTCCTCTCTCCTACTTATCCTTTTTAAACATTTAGTTTTAAATTGACAAAACTTATATATTTTATATTTTACTCATCTTTTTAAAAATAACACCTTTATTGAGATATGATTACATACCTTAAAGTTCACCCATTTAAAGCATACAATTCAATTATTTTAATATGTTTACACAATTGTGAACCTGTCATCATCATCTAGTTGTAGAATATTTTTAAATTTTTTTCATTTTAATTTTTGTGAGTACATGGTAGGTGTATATATTTATAGGATACATGAGATGTTTTGATACAGGCATGCAGTGCATAATAATCATGTAAAATGGGGGTATCCATCCCCTCAAGAAATCCCTTGTGTTTCAGACAATCCAATTATACTCTTTTAGTTACTTTAAAATGTACTATTAAATTATTATTGACTATAGTCACCCTATTGTGCTATCAATTGCTAGGTCTTATTCTTTCAATTTTTTTAATCCATTAACCATCCCCACCACCCCCCGCCACAGCCATCCCCCCATTATCCTTCCCAGCCTCTGGTTAGCATCCCTCTACTCTCTGTCTGCATGAGTTCAATTGTTTTGGTTTTGAGTTCAATTGTTTTGGTTCAATTTTGTTTGATTTTCACAAATAAGAACATGTGATGTTTGTCTTTCTATATCTGGCTTATTTCTTTCCTTTTTTTTCTTTTTTTTTTTTGTTTTGTTTTGTTTTTTGAGGCAGTGTCTCACTGTCACTCAGGCTGCTGGAGTGCAGTGGTGCAGTCTCAGCTCATTGCAGCCTCAACCTCCTGGGCTCAAGCAATCCTCCCACCTCAGCCTCCTGAGTAGCTGGGACTAGAGTTACACACCACCACGCCTAGCTAATTTTTTTTGTGGAGAGGGGGTCGGGTTTTAGATACGGGGTTTCACCACGTTGCCCAGCTGGTCTCAAACATGCCTGCCTCCCAAGGCTTATTTTACTTAGCATAATGACCTCCAGTTCCGTCCTTGTTGTTGCAAAATTTTGGAACATTTCAATCACCCCCAAAAGAAATTTCGGCCTTTTGGCCAGAACCACCATCTTCCAGTAATTCGCCAAAATGTCGAACACAAAGGGAAAGAGGAAAGGCACCTGATATATGTTCTCTAGGCTTTTTAGAAAACATGGAGTTGTTTTTTTGGCCACGTGTATGCAAATCTATAAGAAAGGTGACATTATAGACATCAAGGGAATGGGTACTGTTCAAAAAGGAAGGCCCCGCAAGTATTACCATGGCTAAACTGAAAGAGTCTACGGTGTTACCCAGCATGCTGTTGGCATTGTTATAAACACACAAGTTAAGGGCAAGATTCTTGCCAAGAAAATTAATGTACGTATTGAGCACATTAAGCACTCTAAGAGCCAAGATAGCTTCCTGAAACACGTGAAGGAAAATGATCAGAAAAAGAAGGAAGCTGGCGGCACAGTAGCTCACGCCTGTAATCCTAACACTTTGGGAGGCCGAGGCAGGCGGATCACCTGAGGTCAGGAGTTTGAGACCAACCTGGCCAACATGGTGAAATCCCGTCTCTACTAAAATACAAAAATTAGCCGGGGATGGTGGCAGCCACCTGTAATCCCAGCTACTCAGGAGGCTGAGGCAGGGAGAATTGTTCGAATCCAGGAGGTGGAAGTTGCAGTGAGCCGAGGTTGGCCCACTGCACTCCAGCCTGGGCGACAGAGCAAGACTCTGTCTTAAAAAAAAAAAAAAAAAAAAGAAGGAAGCCAAACAGAAAGATACCTGGGTCCAACTGAAGCACCAGCCTGCACCACCCAGAGAAGCACACTTTGTGAGAACCAATGGGAAGGAGCCTGAGCTGCTGGAACCTGTTCCCTATGAATTCATGGCATAATAGGTGTCTAAAAAATGAAAGACCTCTGGACTGTTTAAAAAAAAAAAGAAAAAAGAAAAATCCTTAACCCATTGACATAGCTTCTTGTATTAATTTCTTATTGCTGCTGTAACAAATTACTACAACATTTGTGGCTTAAAACAACACAAATTTGTTATCTTACAGTTCTGAAGAACAGAAGTCCAAAATGGGCCCCGCTGGGCTAAAACCAAAGTATCAGGGCCTGTGTTCTTGCCAGAGGCACCAGGGGAAAATCCACTTCTTGCCTTTGCCAGCCTCTAAGGGCTGCCTGCATTCTTTGGCTCATGGCCCCCTTCCATCTTCAAAGCCAGCAATGGCTGGTCAAGTCTTAGGATGTTCTCTTTCTGATCTGACTTCTGCCTCTTCCCTATATAAGGACTCTTGTGAGTACAATGTGCTCACCTGGATAATTCAAGATACCCTCTTTATTTTGAGGTCGCTTGATTAGCAACCTTAATTCCCCCTGGCCACATAACATTCACAGGTTCCACAGATGAGGACATGGACATCTTTGGGGGGCCTGTCATGCTGCCTGTCCTACTCCCTATTCTTCCTGCTCCCCAGCCCTAGGCAACCGCTAATCTACTTTCTGTCTCTAGAGATCTACTCACTTTTTTTATTCCTCTGCATATTCTGTTTCTTCCTCGAGTTTCATGTTCAGCTTTTTCCTCTCCCTCCTTGCTCTTACTGGTCTCTGTGACCTCCATCTTTTTCCTCATTTCTCAGGAAATGATTGACTTCTGAAGACAGAAAATGGAGAAATGCTAGGGAAAACAAGAGAGGCAAAGTTTTATAGAACCAAATGCTGAGACAGAAGAGGGGTACAGTTGTGCAAGTGATGAGCTGCAGATTGCCTGGAAACCAAATCAGCTGGCTCATGTAGTAAAAACAGCCCTTTCTGTATATTCGATCGCTTGGTTTTGGGATGACCCACTTGGTCCTTGAGGGCCTCAGTTACCTCAAACTGGCAAAGGAAAGAGGTTGGACCAGATCTGTGGGTCTCAAGTGGTGGTTCCTGGACCAGCAGCAGCAGCATCTCCTGGGACCATGTTATAAATATGAATCTGCCAGCCCCACCCTAGACCTACTGAGTCAGAAACTCGGCATGACCCCCACTCCATACCCCCCCACCAAAATGTGTTTTAACAAGCCCCTCAGATGGTTCTGATGTTTTGCTGAAATTTGAGAACCACTGGACTAGATTATGATGTCTGAGTTCTCACCAAGTGTAATAGTCTATGAGTAAATTCCTATGCATGTAAAAAGAAAAGTTTTAGCAGGAAGAAGACAAAATGCTGAAAGAGAATATGGTAGTTTCAAAGTTTGAGATTTTTAGATGCATGTTAGAAGTGTTTCTATTTTGTTGAAATTTCCCGTCATTCAGTAGTTCACTTTACTTCAAGTTGTGACCTTCCAGATCCGAACCTTAGAGTTTCTGTATGTGATTTCAAAGAATCTTAGAATATATATTGCATGACAGGAAATGGAGGTCTGCTATTTTCCACTGAGACTTGCTGTGTGTGTTCCACACCCACAGGTCTACAACACTGGCCCAAGCACCCTTCCAGGGTCATCTGTCAGCATCTCTTTCCCTAATCGACTCTCATCTGGTGGTGCAGAGATGTTTCATGTCCAGGAAATGGTGGTGAGTTCTCCATTTGTTTTCACTATTGCTTTCAGCTTTGAGCCAGCCCATTCAAATTTTGTATTCCACCCTACCCTGACATCCACCTTGAGGGTTTGGAAAATTCAACTCATTCTACCCTTTGGAGACATATCTGGAGAGGCCAGGGGACCTGTGATACCTGAATTTCTACATTGAGACCATTTGGTTAATGCTGTAAGAAGACCTCTTTGGAGATGGGGAAGAGTTAATTACGAACCAGCTCCTGGGATGGACTTCGCTGGCTCTGGGAACCCCCAGCAGCATCTGCAGTTGCATGCGTCTGAATGCATTTTGCTGAGTGCATTTTGCACAGGGAAAGTGCCTGCAGTCCATGTTGAGAGGATTGTGAAAGCATTGCTCTCTATAGGGGCACGTGAAGGACATTCAGCCAAAGGGACAGTTTTTCCATAGATAGCTTGAAAATCAGGGCAGCAAGGCCCATATGGAGCAGGTGAATATCTGAGCCGAGAGTTGAAGAGGACACAGCCCACAGGGTGGAGGTTCAGAAAACATTGTGTGATGGTGACAGTAATTTCTGGCATTGCTGCCCTCTGGGTCATGTGGACTGAAAACCAGACGCATGTGAATGTTGAATGTAGAACAGGTCACTCCTCCCGAGATGCCAGCTCAGATGTTAACATCCCTCATGATGTTCCATTCCAGTTCCATGGCATCCCCTTGTCTTTGGGCTCTGCTGACCCAGCAGAAGAAAGCCGCCAGTGTTCCGCACCTATGATGTACTATGGTTGGAACTTAGCATGAGGTGAACAAACCACACAGGCTTCTGGCTACCCTCTTAAATATTATTAACCATGCTGACCATGCCACATTTCCCCAGCATCTAGGAGTGTTCTCTTCCTAGAGCATGCTTTCTGAGTTGTTCACGTGAACATCTACAGTGTTGCAGGAGCCTTTTTTTTTCCTATGGGCAAAATCATCTATTGACCAAAACAAGACATTTAAGTCACTCAGATTCTGAAGGTACCCCAAAACCAGGGATACCCCTTTTCCTCTTTACTGATCATCGAGCCAAGGAAAAGCCACTGGAAGGGACTTGGGCTCACACTTACAAATAGCTGGCTTGCATGGAAGGCATTAGAAGTGGTTTCCTGAAGACCTGGACAACTGCCTGGCTATCGTTCTGGCTGAGTGGACCCTCAGATACCCAAGTGGTGTGAGCTGGCTGCACTCTGTTCTTTGGGCTCTGAGAAACAAATCCTTTGGATTTTCAAAACTATATTTAGAATTTTCATAAAGTCTGTAACAGACTTGGCCCTAGGATGGCCAAGTCTCCATCTGGATAGCCCAGCCTGTGATCAAAGGCTGTGGGCATCTTCATCGTATGGAAAAGTAAATTCACTGGCACATCTCACTAAGCAAGTAGGAAAGCTCTCTGTGTTCTTATAAACGATCACCACTGAGCCCAGAATGACAACAAGAGTAGAAGCATAAAAGCGAGTGCATGAGGTGCTGTAGTGAAGAGGCGAGAGTCCCCAGATACTTGTTTCAGAGGCCCACAGCTGGCACACCCTCTGCCTTAAAGCCCTCGGCAAGGGCCTCCTGTGGCTCCGCCCCTCCCTTGCTCAGTAGGGCCTGAGAATGCTCACTGGGTCAGGTGTGATTCAGAGCTCATGACGGTTTCCACTTTGGCCTTATGGGACTTTGAATGGAGCAGGGCTTTCATTCTGGGGATTTGGGTGGCTTGGTGCAAGTGAAATTCAGTCCTATTAGGAGAAACCAGCACTCATTCTCTGTACTGCACTAGGAGGTGACCCTTTGGCCTGGTGGCATTCCCTCCCCACCCCCACTCTCAGCCACCACCATTCCCCAACCTCCAAAGGCTACTGAACAGCTGGGCACCAGCTGGACATGTTAAGCCAACTGAAGCAGAAACAGATTATAGGCATGGAGGGAAGGCTCATCTGTCATTCCTCTCCACACCCTTGGGACCCTCAAATTGTTTCTCCCTCTCTAACAGTGCCCTTGGTGTCTGTATTGCCTGTGATCATCATCCATAGAGCATAATGAGGATGGGCTTACTCGCCCTATGGGCCCTGGGCTGTCACCCTACCTACGGACCCACGTGTGGCACAGTTTTCTGACTTGGTTCAGAATTCATTTAGAAGTCTCTGGGGCTGCTTCTGGGGTCCCTGGGCAGGACCAACCTGCCTCTAGCTTTCACCAAAGAGTCTTTTGTGTTTGCCCAAAGCATTTCTTGAGGTCCAGCTGTCTGTAAGTGGAGAGTGTCTGGCTTATATATGGGAGGTTTTTACGGGGAGCCTAATGAAGTGTAACCACTCCAAACTCCCAGCCTTGGCTCGTGATCTTCTTTCCTTGTAGCTAATGTCTCTGAGCCCCTCTGCTGTGCTTGTATTTACCTTAAAAACAGAGCCACGGTGGTGGCCTGAGGAAAGACTATCAATTTTCACTGCTTCCCACCCACGGGGGTTGTGTGGACCCTACTCTGACTTCCCACAGCACAGAAAAAAAAGGAAACAGGTCACTGTGGACCTAGTGTCTGTCCATCAGGAAGCCAGGTTGTAATGATCATGAAAATAATAGAGGGGAAGAATGACAGACCTTTCTAGTCTATCTGAAATAGCAAAATTACTAGTAACAAATCATTCTTGATTTGTTCACAAACACTGGCTCAGCAAGTACCTATTACGTGCCAGGCTCCAAGGAGAGGAATAAGTCCCACATCTGCCCCAGAACTCACTGTCTTGCAGGAAACAGATACATAAAATGCCATTGTAATACCGTATAACAAATGCAATAATGGAGGCATGCCCAGACCCCAGGATGCTACAAAGGTTCAGTGCTTCACAAAGGAACCTCTTCAAGTCAGGGCTTAGAGGATGTCTAGTTCACCAAGAGAACAGGTGAAGAAGAGAACATTCCAGATAGAGGAACAGTCACCACTTGTGAGTGTATGATGAGTATCTGCTGTGCTGGGAGCTACACCCGGTTCTCCATTCTGTTTGCCTAGCTCTTATACAAATAGGCAAGAGTAAGTGTTCCGTATGCCTTCTGCAGATGTACAGCAGATAGATATTTTGGCAGAATGACAGAGAGTACTGAACCACAGTCATTTCCTCTGTCAGTTTGTAAATTAATCACTCTTCTTGGGTACATCGTGTGTGTGCTGTAGACCTGAACCTTCCTACCTGCTGACTTAGGCATGGAGAAGGCCAAGCTCCCTGTTTGATACTAGAGTCTAACTACATGTCATGGACATTGTCAGCAAACCACCCTTGGCCTGCTGCAATGAGCAGTAGCTACTGACCTCCCTAGCTTACTTTTTTCCTTCTATTGGACAGTCATTCTAAAAAACTCACCTGATTTCCAGGAATAAAATGAGTGAGCCAGACAGCTTATGGGAGGCAGGCTGTGTCCACTTGCTCCTTAGAGATTTCTTTTTGAAGTGAAGATAGATCATCTTCTCAATTTTTCAGAACAGACCTGAAAAATTGAACCACTTCACTTTATTGCCATTCTTCTGCAGAGGCGAGCCGTGTAGCATAGCCCCTGAGCACAGGTCTAAGATTGCACCAAGATAACACATCTGTCACAAGCTTCATGGCTTATGAAGGGAAGAGGGTAGTGGTCTTTCCAAAGTTAAGTTTTACTCACAATTTCTGAAGGTTCAATGGAAGAGATGGGAGCTTTATCTCAGACTGCAAGCTTCACTTGATGGAGTTAAAAACCTGTATCTGTGAGCAGCTTTCTCACACTGGAGGAGAAGGCTTTGGGATTTGGCTCTTGTTAATATGCAAGAAGGGGAAAAGTCAGAAATGATAGCTAACAGGGAGTGAAGGGCTAGAACTTTTATTCCAGGTGAAAGTACTGGATTTTTGAAAGAACTCTAGTGTTAGTCCAGAAGAGATATAAAATAAATATCATACCATTCATTCCTCCTCCTGCAAAACCAATTGAAAATATTGGCCTCTCTGGCTTGTTGTTTTCTTGCTATGGGGCAGTGATTCTAAAGAACTGACCTGATTTCCAGGAGGTAAAATTGTAGGGATGAATGATAATTTTCTAAGGAGATATATCAATGTCTTTGCCATAGGGTACCATTAGGACATTGACTTCAATATGGCATGAATACCAACATCTGTTAGAATATTCCAAGTTGGTGCCAGGACTCATATTTTAGTAAACTGTAAAATCTTCCCTCCCCATGCTTGTACAGTAGACAGGCCTACCCATGATGTACGATGGGTATCCCACAATGAGTCAGTTGATGTGGGAACTTCAATTAATTTATAGTGGGACTGCTCACATCCCTATGAAGAAAATATGCACCTGATACATCACTGACCATAACAGGAGCTTAAAATTAGACATAAATGGAGGAATGAATTGTTTTCCCCAAGGATGACCTGGAGGAGCTTCTTAAGTTGGGGCCATCAAATCAGTCGATATAATCCAAAGCTAAAGAGTAAAGAAATTACTCCTGAATAACTGACCCCCCCAAAAAAATGAATACCATTTATTGCTGTCCCAAGGCTTTAGTAGCCTTTTTCATGTGCTGTCAAATTTAATCCTTATGGCACCTTCATAAGGTAAGATCAGCATCCCAAGTTGAGGAACCAAGCTTCAAGGATTTGCCCAACCTGACACAGCTGCTAAAAAGTAGAGCTGGGTTTGTAACCAGGTCTGACTCCAAAGTTCACGTGGTTCCCATTGTGCTGAATTGCACACTGCTCCTGAAAGTGCTGCCCACTCCCTAATCACCAGAGGCAGGCTCAGTCAATAGGACAGACAGATGAGGAGTAGACCCCCAAGAATCACCCACCAGAGGAGGAGCATCAACACCAGGGCAGAGAGGCAGCAACCGCAATCAAAAGAACTAATACCAGAGGGTGCAGTAACAAGGCCAACAGAAGGCTTCTGAATAAGCAAGACTGATGTCTTCAGAGCAATGCAAAAAGACAGTGTTTCCATGAAACAGAATAAACTAGAGATTTGTAAATTCAAGATATTGATCATTCAAATGAAACTTCAATATAAGCCATAGAGTAGAATAAATATTAAAGAATAAAGTAGGGGATTCGAAACTTGGATTTTCTGAGAATGTATTGCAGAAGAACAAAAAAGCCAGTTAAACTTATTCCTTTTTTTAAATAGCAATCTGGAATGAAAATATCAGATGATCATAATATAAGAGTTAGAAGTCAAGAGAGATGGAAATGAAAGCAAGTCAAGATTCTTGTCTTGGGGGGACAAGTTTATGTACCAATTAGCTCAAGGCTTTGGTAAAATAAATGTTTAAATATGTAAAATTTTAAGGGCAACAAAAAACAATGTAGGACATCCAAACCACTAAAGAAGAAGAATTTAAAACATAATTAAATTCAAAACAATCCAAAAGGAAAGAATTTATGAAGAAAAAAATAAATGTATAATAAGATGGAAGTAATAAACCTAAATATTTCAATAATCAAAATAATAATTAATGGATTAAATGCCCTAAAGACACTCTCAGATTAGAATTTTAAAAATCCAAGTACCAAATAACTTGTAAGAAATACACCTTCAAAGTTACCCAGAATGTAAGGCATTCAAAAAAAAAAGGCAAATATTAACCCAAAGAAATAAAGTATAGCAATATTAACAGCAAATGAAGTATAATTAAAGCCCAAAACCCACAAACATTAAACAGAGCAAAAGAAAATATATTTCAGAGTGTTAAAGATTTAGTCCACTAAGAATTTGTAACATAAATGAAATTTTATATAACCAACAACACAGCTTTAACCATAGAAACACAAAAAGAAATTGACACATTCACAGTCATTGCAAGAAAATTTATTGCTTTCCCCTCAAAAATCATCACACAAGTAGGAGTAAAATAATGAGTATTTGAATAATGCAACTAGAGTTGCGATCATTTATATAGAGACCAAGACAGAATGAGTCAGAATGTCTGATTTTCATTACTGCTCCCTTGTTTACCAGCTATGGCAACCTATAGGAAGTTACCTTAACTCCCCAATCTTATTTTCCTCATCTGTAAAATGAACTAGTAGTAGTACCTATCTCACACTGTAAGGACTGAAGAAACTAATTTATATGGAGTAATTAACAGAGATCCTAACATAAATAAGGGAATGCACATTCTTTTCAAATGTGAACATTTACAAATTATTCAACATACAACAACACAAAAATAAGCATCAATGGAATTTTTAAAGTCAAAGCAGTAGAAGCCACAGTCTCTGACCACAATGCAATAAACTTGGAAGCTAAAAACAAAAGGTTAGGCAAACAACCAACCAAAAACAAATCCACTTGGGAAATTTTAAACACCATTCAAATTAACTTTTTAGAAAAAAAAGAAATCAAAGTTGAAGGGATGAACAAATTAGAAGTGAAAGACAGTGAGCGGTTGTTCATATCAAAACCAATGGGATTTAGACAAAACCAACACAGAGGAAAATGCCACTACTTACATGTGGAAAATAGGGAAGACTGAAAATAAGTGAACTAAATTGACAACATAAAAACTAGACAAGGGACAATGAAATAAACCCAACTCAAAGAAAGTAAAATGAAGGTATTATTAAAGACAAAGCATATCCTGAAATAGAAAAAATAATAACAACAAAAGTATTCCACATTAGCAAAATCAAAAGCTGTTTTTTTGTCCAAAAAAATAGACAAACCTGCAGCAAGCTTCAACAAGAAATAAAGAAGAGCGATGATGCCAAAAAACAACACTAGAAATACTTTTTAAAGAAGTACCATACTTATATGAAGATTTAAAATTTATAACATCTTTTGAGCTGGGCATGGTTGGCTCATGCCTGTAATCCCAGGACTTTAGGAGGCTAAGGCAAGAAGATCCTTGAGCCTAGGAGTTCAAGACCAGCCCAGACAAGGAAGTAAGACCTTGTCTCCACAAAAAATAAAAAACAAATTAGCCAGGCATGTGGCATAAACTACTTGGGAGGCTGAGGTGGGAGGATCCCTTGAGTCCAGAAGGTCAAGGCTGCAGTGAGCCATGTTCACACCACTGTACTCAAGCCAGGATGACAGATCCTGTCTCAAAAAAACAAAAACAAAACAAAAAAATCTTTTCAATTTTATTCACACAAAGATAAAATCTGAATAAAATATGCATGAGGTTAAAAAAAAAGTCCAACTAGACTATCTTAGAAAAAAATGTAAAAGTAGACAAAGACCTATATCTTAAAAAAAATCACCGACCCAGATAGCTATATAGGCAGATTCTAGTAGGCTTTCAAGGAATGGATAATTCTTATGTTAATATAAGCTGTTCCAGAGAGTAGAAAAAGATAAAGAAACTCATTCCAGAAAACTAACATAGCCCTGGTACAGAAACCAGAAATGGAGAGCGGGCACACTCACGCAAAAATAGGAAGCAGTGAGCCAAACTCACTTTGAAAACAGATACAAAAGTTCTAAATAAATTGCAAATTGAGGGCCGGGCGCGGTGGCTCACGCCTGTAATCCCAGCACTTTGGGAGGCCGAGGCGGGTGGATCATGAGGTCAGGAGATCGAGACCATCCTGGCTAACAAGGTGAAACCCCGTCTCTACTAAAAATACAAAAAATTAGCCGGGCGCGGTGGCGGGCGCCTGTAGTCCCAGATACTCGGGAGGCTGAGGCAGGAGAATGGCGTGAACCCGGGAAGCGGAGCTTGCAGTGAGCCGAGATTGCGCCACTGCAGTCCGCAGTCCGGCCTGGGCGACAGAGCGAGACTCCGTCTCAAAAAAAAAAAAAAAAAAAAAAAATTGCAAATTGATTCCTATTAGAAGAATAATATAGTCTGGGTAAAACAGGATGTAATCCAGGAATGCTAAGTTGGTTCTCCATGAGGAAACTGATTAATATAACTCATTATATATTATTATTAATAATAAAAGGATTAAATGAAAAATAACCAAATGATAATCTTGATAAGGGTTTCTAAAAAGTTAAAAATTAAATTCAACATTTATTTATGATATTTTATTACATTTCCAGTAAGGAAAGCATAGAAGACTTCCTCAACTTGACAAAGACCCTTTGCCAGAAACCTATAGGAAACTTCAAGCTAAGTGAGGAACAGGCATGAGTCCCTGCTAGTGTCTCTTCAGTTTAGTTGTGTTGGAGGCCTTAACAATAAAAAGAAATGATAGCCTTTATTCTTAAAAAAAAAAGTATCCTATTGTAAAAATTGTTATTGTCTCCCTAAAAAAATCCAAGAGAATCAACTGATTGGCCCTGAGGACTTGTGAATACAGAAGGTAAGAGCTGAAGCTGACTGTAAACTGCCTGATCTTCAAATGCTTTCCCCAGAGACACACACAGACCCACCAACTGAGGGTGAAAACCTTCCTAGATCAAGATGTTTACATACAGCCTCTGACCAGTCACTGGCTGATCACTAAGCTGTGCTGATCCAGGACAGCCCCTACAAAACCAGGCTTAAAAATAAAAACAAGTGATAAATATATATATACATATATATATACCCACACACACACACACACACACACATATACCCACATACATATATATGCATACATGCAATATATATTTTGCCAGCAGAAACATCAGAGGCTGCACACTCCAGGAAAAACAGACTCCAGAGACTATGTCTAGGCAAGTCACTAAACAAACAAAACAAAAAAAAAGTAACAACTACCCCTCAATGGGAGGGGTAAGAATCCAGAATTGCTACAATATATTATCTAAAATGTCCAATTTAAATACACACAGACACTGTATATATCATATATATTTCTCATGTGCTATACAGGAAGAAAAAAACAGTTAATAAAAACTGAGGAACCCAGATGTTGGATTTAACAAAGACTTCAAAGCAGCTATTACAAATGTTTAAAGAACTAAAATCAGTTTAAATAAAGTATGACAGCAATGATTCATCAAATAAAGAATATCAGTAATAATATTGATGAATAAATTAAAATAAGTGGAAATTAAATAAATGAATAATAAAATAGATGGAAATTATAAGAACCAAGGGGAAATTCTGGAATTGAAAGTAAAACATGGGCTGAGCATGGTGGCTCATGCCTGTAATCCCAGCACTTTGGGAGGCTGAGTTGGGCATATCACCTGAGGTCAGGAGTTGGAGACCAGCCAGGCCAACATGGTGAAACCCTGTCTGTACTAAAAATACACAAAAATTAGCCAGGTGTCGTGGGCAGGTGCCTGTAATCCCAGCTACTCGGGAGGCTGAGGCAGGAGAATCGCTTGAACCCGGGAAGCAGAGATTGCAGTAAGCCGAGATGTGCCACTGCACTCCAGCCTGAATGACAGAGCAAGACTCCATCTCAAAAAAAAAACAACAAATAAATAAAAGAAAGTTAAACACCTGACTGGGCACGGTGGCTCATGCCTGTAATCCCAGCACTTTGGGAGGCTGAGGCGGGTGTGAGGTTAGGAGTTCAAGACCAGCCTGGCCAACATGGTGAAACCCCATCTCTACCAAAAATACAAAAAATTAGCTGGGAGTGGTGGCAGATGCCTGTAATCCCAGCTACTCAGGAGGCCGAGGCAGGAGAGTCGTCTGTAATCTCAGCTACTCAGGAGGCTGAGGCAGGAGAATTGCTTGAACCCAGGAGGCGGAGGTTGCGGTGAGCCGAGATCACACCACTGCACTTCAGCCTGGGCAAAAGAGTGAGACTCTGTCTCAATTTAATTAAAAAAAAAAAAAGCAAAACACCTGAAATGAACAATTCATTAGAGGGGCTCAATAGCATATTTGAGCTGACACAGAATCAGTGAACTTGAAGCTGGATTACAGTACAGATTTTCCAATCTGAAGAACAGAAGGAAAAAAGAATAAAACACAAGCAAAATGGTTGAAGCCCCAGAGGCCTTTGGTGTGCTTTGTGGGACACCACAAAGTTTATCAAGATATACACAATTGGAGTTGCAGAGAAAGACGATAGAGAAAAGAGGGCAGAAAAAAAAATTTGATGAAATATCGTTCCAAAACAGTGGCAGTGTATAAACTCTTCAATAAATGATATGAAGACAATTGGCTATCCATTTGGGAAGACATTAGAGAAAGCCTGTACCTCACAGAAAAAAACAAACAAACAAAAAACAGGTGAATTAAAGTTAGATGTTAAAAAAAATATTTGCAGAACTGAATATTTTCATAATCTTTAGATGGGAAGCTCTTCTTCCTAAGCAAGCCATAAAATCCTGAAACCATAAAGAAAAAATTAACAAATTTAAACCTATAAAAATGTTAAACTTTTATGTGATCAAAATACATCATAAGGGAAAAGATATTTGGGAGAACATATTTGCAACATGGGTAACAAATAGATAATATATAAATTACTTCTACAAAATAATGCAGAAAAGACCAAAAATTATAAAAATGGTTGAAGTTATATGAACAGGAAATTCACAAAAGAAGAAATTTTAGGGGCTGGGTGTGGTGGCTCATGCCTGTCATCCCAGCACTTTGGGAGGCTGAAGCAGGAGGATCACTTGAGGCCAGGAGTTCAAAAAGAAATTTTAATAGCAAATAAACATATAGAAAGATGCCTAGCCTCACTGGTAATCAGAGCAATGCAAACTTAAAATGAGGTTTTTCTCCTCATTAAACTGGCAAAAATCTAAAAAATTGTTAAGATCCATTGTTGGTTAAGATGAAGAGAAATGAGCACTTTCAAATACTGCTGGTATGAAAGGCAATTTGACAATAACTACCAAAATTTAAAATATGAATATCAACAATTCCACTTTTAGGAACCTGTCTCAAAATTTTCACATAATATATCCAGGAGAAACTTCTAATTTTCTGATAGTAGGTGTATATTATCAGGGTTCTCAGCATAAATGTTGACTTCTATTTTGGTGAAGCAGAATATAACTTTAATAATGCTCCCTTAGGATTCTGAGAGAAAGTTGTTAGATTCAGACCAAAAAGTATGAAATCTTACTAACTTATTACAGATAGGTATAGTGCAGAGATACTGTATCAAGTACTTTACAAGAACAAATTAATCTAATCTTCATAATAATTTCTTAAGGAAATTGAGGCAAGGAAGAGTTAGAGGGAAGGCCAAGGTAAATTGGTAAGTGGCTAAGTTGACGTTCACTCTTAACAGTGGGGTTCACTGTGAAATAGGAGTTCAGCAGGACTTGTTTCTCAAGACGCAGGTCACAGAGACCCCGCTGATAAAGCAGGATGTGGTAAAGAAGCCAGCTGAAGACAGCCAGAATCAAGATGGTGACACTAATGATAATTCACCAGCACCATGACAATTTACAGATGCCATGGCAACTCCTAGAAGTTACTCTGTATGCTCTAAAAACAGAAGGAACCCTGGGTTCTGAGAATTCGCAGCCCCTCTCCTGTAAAACTCATGAATAATCCACTCCTTTTTTAGCATTTAATCAAGAAATAACCATTAAAATAGGCAAGCAGCAGCCCTTGGGGCTGTGTTACCTATGGGGTAACCACCTTTTATTTCTTTACTTTCTTAATAAACTTGCTTTCACTTTACTCTCTGGGCTTCCTCTTGAATTCTTTCCTTTAGGAAGCCAAAACCCACCGGCCCTCCCAGGCCAAACCCCAATTTGGGGGTTCATCCTGCCACAACTGTACAGTGTGGGGTCAAGGGGAACCCTTGGTCTTTTTCACTGAAAAATCAACTCAGAAAAGGCAGATTAATAGGAGAAAAGGCACACAGATTTATTTAACTTGTATACAGGGGAGGCTTCAGAATGAAGACCCAATCCCCTGGTAAGGTACAGAAGCTTATATACCATCTTGAGGTTATAGAAAGAATGCAGGCTCAGAGCATGACCACAACCAGGTTTTAATGGCAAGACATGTCATGGGGGAGAGAAAGAAGGAGGCTTGGCTAGCAAAGGTGGCATTGTTATGTAGATGAAGCCTTCCAGGTCATAACTCCTAGAGAGAATAGATGGTGAATTTCTTTTCAGACTTGTAAAGGTGTCAGACTCAATCTGTCCTAGATCTGGGAAAGGCCTGGAAAGAGAAGGGCTGGCTGCATTCAAGGAGATTCTCTACAGGTGCAAAATTTCCCCACAAGAGACAGTTTTGCAAGGCCACTTCTGTCTGCTGGCCCAGCAGCAGCCATTTCAAACGATGTCAAAGAAATCTATTTTGGGATAAAACATTTTGATTTCCTTTAGCCACTTGCAGGGTCTTGCGCCATCCTTTTGTCTGGGTGCGTAGCTGTCCAGCAGCTCTAGCACTACCTGGAAGTTGAGGCATGGTCATGCAGAACTAAGGCCCCACCCAGGCCTGCTGAGTCAGAGCCTTCACTTCAGCAAGATCCCCAGGGATTCCTTTGTCTGTTCATATTTAAGAAGCCCTGGTCTAAAGCATGAGACTTAAATCTCTGCTCTCCCATTTTCTTATCTGTAAAATGGTGATGACAGTCCTCACCACAAGAGGCTGTTGTGGGGATATTTTTATACACATGTTCATTCTTTCAACAAATACTTTGCGCCCAGCATATGCTAAGCACCTAGTGCAGAGAGGAAAACAGACAAAAAGTAATTTCCAGCCATCATGTAGCTTACATTCTGGTGGGGAAAGAGTAATAAGTAAAGCATATAGTTTATTACATGATGGTAAATGCTCTGGAGAAAAATTTAAAAAGCAAGAGGATAGGGATTGGGAAAGGCTGTAATTTTAAACGGAGTGGTCAGGGACAGTTTCACGGAGACCTTTATTCAGAAGTTGCAGGGACCAAAGCTATCTTACGGGAGTTTGCAATGAGAATTTCTTTGCCCATGGAGTCCTTGCCAAGTCTATGTCTTTTCTGAGAATTCTCTCCCCCTTGATTTCAGCCCTGTTTGATTTCTGACCTTTGAAATGCCAGCCCCCATGCTGCCGTTGTGTGGGGTTCCGACTGGACATCCAGAAGTCTCCGTGTGTGTTCTCATTAGCTTTCACTCTGGGGGAGTTTTCTGCCACAATGTGAATCACTTATTTTGCTGGCAGCAGCAGTTGACAGTGACACTGATTTTTAAAGCCTGCACATTTCACATCAGAAAAGTCCTGGATTTTATGACTTAGCTATGCTTAGAGGATAATTGCAACAAGAAGTCTCCCCTGCAGCCAGCTTATTGGAGCTGAGACTTGTATAAGAGCCAGACCTGGCACTTTAAACAGCCCAGCAAATAACCCAAAACAAAAATGAACAATGCACATTTTTATCTATGCTGCTCTTCCCCATCATGAACACATGCTTCTTTTTTTCCTCGCCTTCACCCTCAATTTTTTTTGTGGAAATTCAATGGTTGACTGTACCAAGCCAGCTCTCTGGGTGAGAGGTTCCTTCTAACAAGGATTAGAAACCCCTCTCATGTAGGAAGAGGTGGATTTGGGGGATTATATGATCCAACCCTCTACCTTTGGACAGAATACAATCGAGATGTCTCCCCAGTACACAGAACTGCTTTTCCAGCAAGTTCTCTTTGTTAAGCCATTCTGGTATCCCTCAAATCCCTTGTTATGACTATCCACAATTCTCCATGCCCCATGACCCTTTCTTAGCTAAAATGAAAAATAATTGCCTAGTTCCCTCATGTAGAGAAGTTGAGCTATTACCTTGACTTCCCCCTTCTCTTCCAAAAAAGATTACAATTCCTTTAATTTTCTTTCCCATCCTAGGGTGTCCTCTTTGCTCTCTCCATATTCTCCAAATAAAAATTCAAAACTGAGCAGCAAATCCTGTGCCTCTTCATCCAACCCCTCCTCATCATGAATCATTATCACTCAGGAAGTAAGGACCTGGTTTACTATCTGAGAACTTTAGTCCTAATAATTTCTCTACACCAACTTCTAGTCCTAATAATTTATCCGTATAATGCTCAGAAACACTCCGAGATTCTCAGTAAAAAAAAAAAAAAAAAAAAAAAAATCAAGGAAATCTTAATGGCCAAAGCCATAGGTCCAAAACCCGGCGTTCCCTCCCACCCAACTTTCCAGGCCATTTTCTCCAATAGCCCCTCATCCCTGACCTTGTCTTCCAGCCTCCCTGGACCATGAATGCTGCTGAAGGCTCTCACTTTGTACTTCCCTGGGCCCCCTGCCCTTGCTAGTGACTTCTCCTCCCCTCTGGCTGTGGAAAGCTACTCATTCTTCAAGACCCAGTTCATATGTCCTCTCTGTCAAGGCTTCCCAGATGCCTTCACAGATGGCCCTGCCTCAGGGCCTTTGCACCTGCCTTTGCTGAGAACACTGTTCCCTCCAATCTTTGCATAGCTGGCTCCTTCTTATTATGCAGATCTGAGCCCAGAGTTCACTTTCTCAATAAGTCTTCCCTGAACACTTTACCTAAAGTTGCAAACCCCCATTACTCTCTATCTCATTTGTATGTTGTTTTCTTCATAGCACTTGTCACTATGTGAAATTACTCTCTTATCATCAGTCTTCTTCCACCAGATTAAAAACACCATGAGAGTAAAGGGCAAGGTCCTTATTTTCTGTGTATTTGCAGCATTTGGTGCCGAGACCATAGTGAGTGGTGAGACAAATGAAAGAAATGGCTGCTTCCACTCTGTTAGTGGCATCCTCAGACACACAGTCACCCCTTGTATCTCCTGGGGATTGGCTCCAGGACATCCCCCCATCTCTACTTGAGATCGCCCAGTAGGAATATTTTGAACAAATTCCTTTAACCCATGGCAGAGGTTGCCTTAATTTCAATGTGAGAATAAGAAGGTGAAATTTTGAAATAAGAGATTGAATTACTTATCAGAAACGAAAGCTTCTTAGAGCAAATTTAAACTCTACAAACTTTGGTCAGGGATTTGAACACATATTTCCTTCCCCCTCAGTTTCTCTCACACAGACACTGCTGATCTCAGTAATGGCCCTAAACTTTCTTTTCTTTTTCTTTTGCATTTTCTTCTTTCTGCACATGTATGAATGCAAGCTGAATAGTCAAGTTCCTGAAATGGGTCAGGATTAGGTTTGCCTTAAATCTTTTTCTCAACAGAAGCCAAACACTTAAAAGAAGGGAGATGGCTGATTGAATTCTGGAACAAAAGTTACATTCCTAGGCTCTTGGTTAATTTGAGCTTGGCTAGAGGGAGAAAGCGTGTGTGTTTCTGTGCACAAGTTACACTCAACACACACCCTCTGGAAGGTGGGGGTAAGCTTCAGTCCCGGCTGTCCGTACAGAGTGTGGTTCAGAGGCTGCCCTTTAACCTGTGTGGCCAGAGAGAATAAATCAAGCCAGCAGTGCTGTCTCCCTGCTGACTGAAGGCGCCCGGCCTTATCAAGGAGCCCAAATGTCTTGTGCTCACAGCTGCTGTGACATCTGGAAGCATTAACACTTTGTTGCCAGCATGTAGGCTAGTTGAATGCCGATGCGTAGGTGCCTGGTGTTTTCTGGTCTGCTACATGAATAGGCGTCAAAAGTTGGTGGTGAGGAGTTTGCTTACGTTCATTCCTTAAAAGCAACATGACACAGAGCCTTGCCATGGCAGGGGTGATGGGTTGTTACCAAAGTCGATAACAGGAAATCTCACTGAGGATAAACAGGGCTCATCGGCCATTGCCGAGAAACACATGGTTCTCATTTAACCTGCCAAGGACTAATTGTGTATGCTTCGGAAGCGCAAAAACAGGAAAACGCTTTTCTGACATACACCCCAAGTTTCTTCAGACCAAAAAGAACTGCCTCAATGTTGTTAGACGCTGAGAAGTAATGATCTCCCCAGCTGTCAGGGAGCCAACCTCACTTACTTCTCTTTAATCTAAACTTATGACCTAAAGCATATTTCAGGCCTCCCATGAAGTCCTTGAAACTTGAGACTTAATGAAGGACACTGAGGTTTCACTTTTCACTGCTCTGGTGTATGTACTCTCAGAAAAGCAGTGGAAGAGGTTAGATAGATGGTGATGTAGGAATCATGGCATCCAGAAAATGAGTGTGATTTACCCTTTGATAAAAGGGAACTAATAAAGCAATATATGCAGGAAATGCAGAGACAACCCAGTGAATAGGTGTGCTGCTTTAGCCTTTAAGGGAAGATGGGTCTGAGCTTCATTCTTTACCTTAAGATGGGTCCAAGAGCTAGAACCAGAATTTAAACAAGCAGATACAATTCCAAGGACCATGTTTTGTCTCATATGGGGGCTATTCACTCATTTATTACCCAAATCAACAGACCATTCTGCTTCCAAAATATTTCATTATCTGTGGAAGGAAAACATTTTTGGTATGCATGTCAAGTGCTCAGATAACATATTTATGTATCGCTTTTTCACTAAAGAGAATCTGACGGCATCTGGAAATTCTTTTGTGTCACTGCCTCTCTCAGACTACTTCCCATCTGTATCGCTTTAACTCCAATAAAAGGCCATCCCCATGCCTGGGAAATGGGCTTTGTCTGGGGAACTTGTCTTTCTCTGATTACATGTAAATTAATTAAAGCCCATCCCGTTTTACAGGGCAGCCTGGTGGTGGTGGCCTGCACTCTTGACTTTCCAGCATGTTGGCCTGTCACACGCAAAGGAAGAGGGAGGAGGGGAGGATGCAGGGGCATTGTTTTAGCCAAACCCTAAAGCTGATGGAAATGAAATCCACTGGCTTTTATCATGAGAAGTGAAATTGTTCATGAAATAATGGCAGCCTCATACAGAGGCTGTGCATTGGATTATACTCAACCTTTCCTCTGAAACGTTGGTCTGGAGGCTTTGCCCCTTTATTTTCAGTTTCAGATTTGATCTCAGTAACACCCTGACCTTTTCAGACTCCATACCACTTTTCACAGGGATGACTGCCTTAAGGGATGGGGAAAGGGTTAGAGAAAGCAAGTATTTTATTTAGAAGACAGTTTTCAGTTAGAAAGGGAGAAGACATCTAGAGTTAAAGTTACGATCTTTTCCTTTCTGTGCTTAAGTGATACTAGGTCATTCTTTAACTTCTTGCTCCACCTGCTCTATCCCCAGCTCTGCAGGTTTGGAGTGGGCTGTCATGTGATTTTGTTTACCCGTTTCGGTTCAAAGACAGAACTCTTTATTTGAACACTGAAGCTAGCAGGGACTGTCCAAAGCCAGAGCCCCTCATATTAGCCTAGCTTATGTTGTTGTGATCATCAGACTGTTTCTGTTTTTTGGATTTTTGTCCTTAAATAAACACCTTGGAACCACTAGCTACACAGAGGGGTAAATATCAGAAAATCCAAATTTGGTGCACTAATGAACACGGGGTCTCTTTTCACAAAGCAAAAGACCATCATTCTTCAGAAGGATCTCCCAAAGAATGCCATTGAAAACTCCTCATTACCTTCAAATGGGGTGATGCACACACGAGTAGCATGAAATTAGCCATGTTCATATTAAGGAGCAATCTAAGATCATTATTGCTGTTTCTCTGGCCTTATATTAAATAGTGTCATTGCAATTGAAAAATTAGAGTAAATGAACAGAGCCTGTGAGCATCCACCCTTTGTAGGTTATCCTGAGTCTGCATTATTACAGGGTCTTGAAATGAATGGTGATACGTGAAAGTATTTGTCCTAGGATTCATTAATATTATTATATTTTAGTCTTTGGTCAATATGAAGAAATACTCAATAGTAAATCATAGCAACATGATTTAACATGAGATATAATTTGAAGGGCTCTTTAAGGCTGCTAAGCAACCATGAATCATGGTTTGCATTTTTCTAGATGGATAATATGAAGCTATCTTATTTATCTTTCTAGAACTAGACACCTTAGGTCAGGCTAATCAACCAGCTGGTATCATTTCTCAGTTATTGTATGACTACTATCTTTATTTCAAACCCTGAAGTCCTAAAATTAATGTCACCACAGCCATTGTAGTATGTGTTCAGCCGCCTGTGCCGGAATAGGGGCTTACTGTCTTTTGATGCCTTGGTTCTCAGAGTAGGCAATGGGTAATTGAATTAGCAAAGTAGACATTCAAAACATTCTCTGAGTTTTCAAACTCAAGGAGCGTGTGACTTCAGAGAAGCAGGCGATAAGTCAGGGGGTGGGTCATGTTTACCCGGTTGCCGTCAGCTGCGATTGGTGTAATATGATATGGAAAAGTGGCCCAGGGATGTAACTGAGAACATAAAGTCAATGAATAACACAGAAACGTGAGTTAACAGGAAACACATGTTATTCTAAAATGAACCTAGGTCCCTTTTAACCCAAGCCAATTCAACAAACATAGCTTTTAGATCATACCTTTTAGGTTTTTTTTTTTTTACCCAAAAACCACACTGGGGATGACTCCAGCCGTGGCTCATGGGGAACACTACTGTCATTCAGTTTGTTCCTCTGCTAATTTAATCTTCCATTTTCCTTTGATTGGTGATGCACGCATTCAAGGGGCATCAAGCCATGGACACTTTGGTGACCCTCCCTATCCTTGGAACCCCAGCCAGCTGATGGGGTTCGTACTGGTAAAATGGCAAACTGGTAGAGGCATCTATGCTTCTGCCTGTTAAAAATATACTAATAGGCCAGGCGTGGTGGCTCACACCTGTAATCCCAGCATTTTGGGAGGCCGAGGTGGACGGATCATCTGAGGTCAGGAGTTTGAGACCAGCCTGACCAACATGGTGAAACCCCATCTCTACTAAAAATACAAAATTAGCCAGGCATGGTGGCACACACCCATCATCCCAGCTACTCGGGAGGCTGAGGCAGGAGAATCGCTTGAACCCGGAAGGCAGAGGTTGTGGTGAGCTGAGATTGCACCATTGCACTCCAGCCTGGGCAATAAGAGCAAAACTCTGTCTCAAAAAAAAAAAAAAAAAAGCTAAAAATATCACATACCAAAGCTGCAAATTATTTCTTTAATTTTGAGCGACGTTAATCCACATGATCTAAATCATACATTCTCACACATTCTCCTACTTCAAAGCTTTCCCTGGTTCCTATTACCTTCTGGGTAACTACCTCCACCCACGCCATGTGTAAGACTTGTCACATGCCCTCCTCTGTGTCCAGGCCCATCTCCCCTGCCTCAGTTCTGGCCACTGCTACCCAGCATTCATCCAGTGCTTGACCTGTGTTGAACTCCTTGGCTCTCTAGACTCCAGTCTCAAGTTTGCCCCTCTATGCTTTTGCACATGCTGTTCTCTTCCTGGAATTCCTTTCTCCCTCCTCCCTTTACTCCTGAGAAGTTTTCTTTATCCTTTGCGATCTACCTGCAATGCCACTTCCTCTGGGTCAGATATGAGAGGGGCTGACTTCCTGGTGGAGGGAGAAATTTGTAGACAAGATTTATAATCTCATTAGGAGCTGTGCTCTGAGGGGCTGCGAATGGATAAACAGTGAGGTGGTGGTCAGGTGGTGTTTGGGCTTCAGTATGTGGAATAGCTACTATGCAGCCTGGTGCAAGGAAGATGGAGTGGGACAGAGCATCCTGGTGGGGATTTTCGAGATGTGCTTCTCAGACATGACAGGTTACTTAACCTCTCTGGGCCTCAGTTTTCTCATCTGTAAAAAGGGGTGGAATTTAAGGAGAGCAGAAGTTAAAGCTTATCTGTCACATCCCTGATAAATGTCTCTGTGCTGCTGTTCTAGCTGGTTGAACCTCAAAAATGTCCCAGTTTAGACAATAAATTATATGGTCACCCTTCTGAGAGCAGTACCCTCCACACATGGGTGCCGTAAGGATTCAGCATATGCCGTTCTCTAACATACTAATAGCACCTAATATTGTATTATTTCCATTGATATCTGAACTCAGTATAGAGATGGGACCATAAGCGATTTCCCAGGATGATGTGCTTGGAGCATGACACTTAGAAAAAAGATCAGAGGACTTTTCTGCCTCTTCAGTGTTCAAACCCAGGCACAGGGACTGTGTTTGGCTGCTCTGTTTGGGGCCCTGTGGGAGGAAACCTGTGTCCTCTCTCTTGCTCTGAGTCAACAGACAACTCTTAGAAGTGCCTGACTGAGCCTACAACATGGAAATGCCATTTCCTCCAAGCCGTTTATCTGACCACCTCAGCCTGGAAAGTAACAGCTCTTGACTTCCCTTCTCCACCTGGGATCAGATGACGACAACATTTGAAACAAAGGGTCTGCTCTCTTTCTCAGTATCACACCTATGGAATCAGCCCTGATTCACACTTCAAACCCACTACTTCATGAAGCAAGGTCTTGCCAGATCCCCTAGAGTGAACAGGGGATTCTTTATCCTCTCACAGGCCTGGCACCGTGGTGGCTTCTGACCATGACAGCTCCTTTCACTGAGGCTGACCCAGACTCTGCCACCAAGTGATGGCCACTCCTTGGGCTCCCACAGCCAGGGTTCCTGACAGCTTCCCCAGTCACCACCATTTCATGGTTTCAGTTTGCACAATGTCCTCTTTGGGGTAAAGGGGAGGACAGATGCCAACAGAAAACCCTCAGTACCTGCCTTGGTAGAATACAGCCTTGTCACTGTGTCCTGCATCCTCCTTTCCTTGTTTGGGTGCCTGGTGAAGTCCTTTTGTTCAAATTCTAATAGCCATGGACCTCTGCCAGCTCCCAGAGGCCCTGAGAGATAAGCAGCCATGTCATGAGAAGCATTTGGACTCCGGTAGCCTGGGAAATAAATGAGGACTGACTGGGCAGAGAAGAGCAAGGGGGCGATGGCCACAGAGTCCTTAGCCAGCCAAGGAAATGACATTGTTGGTCATTGGCCGGGGATGCTTGGGTTGTCTGCAACACATGAAAAAAGCATCATGTCCCCTTGACTTTGAGCAAAGAGTGCGGTTAAAACCAAGTTGTGGGAGGATGGATAGTCAGTAATTGTTTATCTGTGTGATGAGATAAGGTAGTCCCCTGCTGTAATGAAAATGCACAGACAGTTCATGAAGTGAGGAATTAGCAACTAAGGACAACCTGAGTGACTACATGGGCCAACATCCTCATGTGTAGATGAGGAAACTGAGGCCCTGGAGACCCAAACTGGCACGGCTGTTAGCAGGCAGAGCTAGGGCTGAAGCCAGGACTATTGAGTATTCATCAAGAGCGTCTGTACCACAGAACTTCACTGGGGCCCGGACATGACCTTGGACAAGTCGCTGAACTCGGGGACCTCTGTTTCCTTATCTGTCAGCTGAGGCCACAAGGACTGCATGATCTCGCAGCTGCCTTCCAGAAACAACATTCCAGAATGCTCTGTTCCCCCCTTCCAGCCCAAGAGACTGTGCAGAATAGGCCTCTTCTCAGTCAGCAGGCACTTTTGTCTCCCATGGTCTAGGCAGGAGTCATTTTTTTTTGCTACAGTGGTGGAAATGGGTCAGGCTGGAGAATGCTGAGGTTTCCAGGCTAGTGGTTTCTTCCTCTGACCACAGTAAGAGGAAAGGAAGCTTTCCCTCCACCTCTACTCCTCTGTGACTCCTGCCCCAGCCCCATCCTCAGCTTCCACCTAAGAGGTAGTGCAGGAAAGTGGTGATAAGCAGATGTCTGCAGCTGTGTGACGTGTGTCCCAGCCCAGTTCTGTGGCCTGCTACCTGGGGAGCCTCTGGTTGTAATTGGGCCTCCTGTTGCCTCTCAGCTTGCCTCCATCTGTAAAATGGGGACAGTAGGCCAGGGGCTGTGGCTCACACCTGTAATCTCAACACTTTGGGAGGCCAAGGCAGGTGGATCTCCTGAGGTCAGGAGTTCAAGACCAGCCTGACCAATATGGTGAAACCCCATCTCTACTAAAAATCCAAAAAGCTTAGCCAGGCATGGTGGCGTGTGCCTGTAATTCCAGCTACTGGGGAGGGTGAGGCAGGAGAATTACTTGAACCCAGGAGGCAGAGGTTTCAGTGAGCCAAGATCGCACCACTGCACTACAGCCTGGGTAACAGAGCAAGACTCCATCTCAAAAAAAAAACAAAAATGTGGGGACAGTAATAGCACCTGCTTCAGGGAACTGCTGTGAGGACTGAATGTTAATGTGTGGAAAGCACCGAGAGCCTGGCGTGCAGTAAGGGCCATGCAAGTGTTAGGTGCCGTTGTCATGGCTGTCACATTGGTACCTGTTCAACACACTTAGAGGACCGCCTCCCTCCACCTTGATGACCCTTGGTAGGTACTGAGTTCCTGAGTTTTAGCTGAGGACTGAAGGTGTGACTGCAATAGGATTAGCTGGTCTGAATCAGACTTATGTAGCACCAGGCAACCTTCAATCTCCTTTTGAAAGGGGACCACCCTGAACCTTTCAGAAAAACGTTGCTTTCCCCGATTGAAGTGATTCCCATGTAACCACAGTCGGGAGCACAACTGGCCAAGATTTTCATTCACCGCAGACTCAGTCCTCATTTCCCCTTTCCAGATCCCACCAGGGGCAGATGAGGTGTCACATTGCATCACATCACGCCATCGCCATTACCCTGTTCACAGGCCACCCCAGAAACTCCCGGCGGGAGACAGAAACTAACTTCTGAGCTGTGACTCTGCCCCTTGGGGTTGACACTGAGGCTTAGGCTGTTTCTCACTCGCTTGCCCTGCCTTTCCCAGCTCCCTGCCCCTCTCCGCTGGCGTCTTGTGGCCAGATGACAGTGCTAGCTCTTCACACCTGAAGCACATTAGCAACACTGGCTGGGCTGGAGCTCTGCTCCCAAGCTTCCTCTCCCTGCCTAGAAACCTGAAGCACCGATGTGCAGAGCAAGGAGGAACTCTGCTCCCACGCCTGATTTTAATGAGGGATGGATGCATCCTGCAGGGCTCAGAGGTTCTGTTTCTCTAAACCCAGACCAAATGTGTTTGGGTGGCCAGGCCTCGTAATCTCAGCAGAGGAATGTGCATGCCACAGGGCTGCAGAAAACAGTTTCCAGCGGTCTGTCAGCAGATGTCCACTCCAGAAGACAGACAGGGAATTTGGAGACCTACAGGCTTTGGAGTGAAAAAGTGATGGATATTAAGAGCACAACTACACACATTCGGATTCTCAAACGCCCAATAAACATAAATATTTTCCATCCACAATGTACTATATATGCCTAAATATAGGGCAAGCCCCAAATAGCACATCCTCCATTTCCCTAATTAGATAAATTTAACTCTCTTTTTTTTTTTGCCAACTTAATAGGAATCAGAACTATGATTGCCTTTGAGGTGGGGGGAGTGGGCAGTGGGAATTGACTGGCAAGGGACTGGTGGGAACTTTCTGGAGTGAGAGACAAGTTCTGTACTTTCATGGGGGTGGTAGTTACTGGGTGACATAATTCATCAAACTGCACCCTTTAGATCTGTGGATTTTAATGCCTGTAAATTTACCTCAATAAAAAGAAGTTTGGAGAAATGAAGAAATAATCAACTATCTGTGTATAATGTTTAACTTAATCATGTGGTTGAATGCTTAAAATTTTATAAGAATGATATATTAATCTATAATACTCTTCATTCTTATGTTTCACACAATAATTTTATCCAAGTGTGCATCTTCTGAGATTGATGGGTTTCATTTCTAAGCCACATTTTTAGTCAGCAGTTTACCAGAATATATCATCTACAATTTGCCTAATTTAGTTGAAATGCAGAACTTCTTGAATCCATGTTGGTGCTGAAATTTG
Organism: Homo sapiens; assembly: GCF_000001405.40. NCBI lineage: Eukaryota > Metazoa > Chordata > Mammalia > Primates > Hominidae > Homo > Homo sapiens. Next base: position 346,756 of record NW_025791771.1, read on the forward strand.
ATTGGCACACACCAACGCCCACTTGCGTAGCACTGCAGCAGTTGTTTTCCTCATTTGTCTTGCAAGTGAATATTCATGCTGCTCCCCACATCAACAGCTTACGTATTGCTTTCTAAAATGGGCTTTCAAATATTTATTGCAACTTTCAACAATTGAACCCAAGGAATAATTACCAAATCTTCATTAAAGCTCATTGCCTCCTTCCCATTGTTTCCCTCTCGTGACCTCTAAAATCGTCCAGACCTGATGTTGATTGAGATCATTTCAGGCTAGTGTGTTTTCCCCAAATGTTGTCGTTCAAATAAAGTAATTGAGGCTGGGTGCAGTGGCTCATGCCTATAATCCCAGTGCTTTGGAAGGCCAAGACAGGCAGATTGCTTGAGCTAAGGAGTTCGAGACCAGCCTGGGTAATGTGGCAAAACTCTATCTCTACCAAAAAAAAAAAAAAGAAACCAGCAAAAAACAAAACAAAACAAAAACTAGCCATGTGTGGTGGCATGTGCCTATAGTCCCAGCTACTCAGGAGGCTGAGGAAGGAGGATCACCTGAGCCCAGGAGGTTGAAGCTGCAGTGAGCTGGACTACTGTACTTCAGCCTGGGAGACAGAGACCCTGTCTCCAAAAAAAAAACAAAAAACAAAAAACAAAATTTCCAAATTATTAGACACTTAAATTTTAAAGGACAGTAAGTCCCAAACTGTGAGAAACTTTTATAGGCAACATCCTCTTTTCTAATAGTTTAACTTGAGGATATAAACCTTCACCTTATTTATTTTCAGACATATATAGTAAATCCTGGAATGTATTCAGATCAAAGATAAAATAGAGATAAATTTAGCAAATTTTGGTGGTCTTGTTTTATAATTCACTATTAATAGATTAGCATTGTTAGCTTTAGTTTATTTGTGTAGCAAAAACTGACCAATAGAATCTAATTAAACTGAAGAGCTTCTACACAGCAAAAGAGACTATCAACAGAGTAAACAGACAACCTACAGAATGGAAGAAAATATTTGCAAACTATGCATCTGACGAAGGTCTGATCTCTGTCATCTATAAGGGACTTAAATTTGCAAGAATAAAACAACTCCATTAAAAGGAGGGCAAAGGACATGAACAGACACTTTTCTAAAGAAGACATACCTGCAGACAACAAGCATGTGAAAAACTCAGTATCACTGGTCATTACAGAAATGCAAATCAAAACCACGGTGAGATACCATCTCATACCAGTCAGAATGGCTATTATTAAAAAGTCAAAAATTGGCCTGGTGCGGTGGCTCATGCCTGTAATCCCAGCACTTTGGGAGGCCGAGGCGGGCGGATCATGAGGTCAGGAGATGGAGACCATCCTGGCTAACACGGTGAACCCCATATCTACTAAAAATACAAAAAAAAATTAGCCGGGCATGGTGGCAGGTGCCTGTTGTCCCAGCTACTCGGGAGGCTGAGGCAGGAGAATGGCTTGAACCCAGGAGGCGGAGCTTGCAGTGAGCCAAGATCGCGCCACTGCACTCCAGCCTGGGCAACAGTGAGCGACTCCATCTCAAAAAAAAAAAAAAAGCAAAAGTCAAAAATCAACAGATGATGGAGAGGTTTTGGAGAAAAGAGAATGCTTATACACTGTTGGTGGGAGTATAAATGTGCTCAACCATTGTGGAAAGCAGTGTGGCTATTCCTCAAAGAGCTAAAAGCAGAACTGCCAATTAACCCAGCATCCCATTACTGGGTATATATATACCCAAATGAATATAAATCATTCTACCGTAAAGACACATGCACATGAATGTTCATTGCAGCACTGTTCACAATAGCAAAGACATGGAATCAACCTAAATACCCATCAAAGACAGATTGGATAAAGAAAATGTTGTACAGATATACCATGGAATACTATGCAGCCATAAAAAAGAATGAGATCATGCCCTTTGCAGGAACATGGATGGAGCTGGAGGCCATTATCCCTAGCAAACTAACACAGGAACAGAAAACCAAATATCACATGATCTCAATGATAAGTGGGAGCTAAATTATGAGAACTCATGAACACAAAGAAGGGAACAACAGACACTGGAGTCTATTTGAGAATGGAGGTTGGAAGGAGGGAGAGGAGTAGAAAAAATAACTATTGGGTACTAGGCTTAGTACCTGGGTGATGAAATAATCTGTACCAAAAACCTCCATGACACAAGTTTACCTATATAACACACCTGCACATGTACTCCCAAACATAAAATAAAAGTTAAAAAAAAACCAACAGCAAAAAAAGTTTTTGTTCCCTACCATGAATAAAAAGTTGAAACATTCTTGAACAACTATATTTTACTCAAGGGCATTATAGACAGGGCAATTTAACAGATGCCTGTGGTTAGCCATGGGATTGTAAGCACAATTCTAAATTATGAATTACTAATTATTAATTTTCTGGTTTAACCTCACATCCTGTCCAGCCTTCAGCTACAACCAGTGTGATATGGTGATATATAAAGAAGACTTCATTTTTCTAACAGTTCCTCAATTTAAACATCAGAAAGAGTGCTGTTCTTAAGGAAATCATCAAGAAAGACTAAGCACCATTGTTTTGTTTCTGATGTTGCTGTCACTCAGCACCGTTGCCATTGCTGTCAGAAGCAAAATCAAATCACTCACCAAGAGCTCGGCAAGCATGCAGGTCCCCGTCTGGCTCAGGGCAGAGACTGGTCAGTTATTTTTTTGGTAGCAAAACTCTGGCTTTAGAGTTGGACCATGAGCAGTCCTGCTTGCTGCTCATTCCCTTTCTCTAGAAGGACCCCTAAGGAGTTTTACAGCACCGTGGGGGCTTTCTAGAATGGTTGAAAACCTCTGGCAGCAGATCATCCATCAGGCTTGGTCCCAAGTTCCAGACCTGGGTTCTTGACTCCATGACTGTTGGCCAGTGACCTAAGTTCAGTCTCATTTTCCTCATTCAGACAAGAATTGCTTGTAAGGATGTTCTTAAGTGTGCTTTCAAAACCATGGAGTATAAGGCTTATTTTACTCCTTAAGTCTTCCTATTTCCTAGTCACATCTCATTTGCATGTTATATGCCATCTCATCAATTATTGGGGGACCTAAGATCCACATTTTCTATTATTTGGCCCTGTTGATGCTACAACTTCTGCCTTTCAGCTTTTCAGCCATTGTTCTCCACTTCAAAATGGACAAGGAGGAAAGGTGAATTGGGGTTCTACCACTCCTGCCTCTACAATAAGAGGCTCCAGCATCATGATTCATTCTTGAGAATGACTCCTCTGACAGGCCTCTTTTCATTTGCAGGTGGGCCAAGAGAAGGGAAACTGCTCTTTCCAGAAAAACCCAACTCCCTGCATCATCCCTCAAGAACAAGAAAATATCTTCCACACAATATTTGCTTTTTTCACAAAGTCTGGAAGAAAAGTCTTGGTAAGGATTTGTTTAGTGGTTGGGGTAACACGGGTGGTCCTCACTCGGAAGACACCAGTTTTCTATTTGATATTTATTATTTCCTAAATCTGGTTTTAATCAATTTGACTTACAAAGGCACAGACTGTGGTCAACTCCTAATTTTCAGTCTGAGGTTTCAATCAAAATGTTAAATTTACATTCCAAATCCTATTACCTGGAAAAGGGATAAATCTTTGCAACCCACCAAGCACAAAGTAAAATGTTTCTTCCACTAGAATGAGTCTAAACAAGAGTGATTATTCTTGTGCAAACATTTTGGGAAACTGTTTGATAATATCTACTAAAACAAAACGTGTGTATCCTATGACACAGCCATTCTACTCTTGAGTATATCCCCAAGAAAAATGAGTACTTGTGCTTCCCAGAAAAGACATGAAAAAGGATGCTCACAGAAATGTTAAAATAGCTGAAAGCTGAGAACAATGCAGATATCCATCAATAGGAGAATAAGTAAGCAATTGTGGTATATCCATACACTGGAATATTACACAGTAATGAAAAATAACAAACTACTGCTAATGAATGAATCTCACAGACAGAATATATTGAGTGGAAGAAGCTAGAGACAAAAGCCACATATTGTAATATTTCACTTATACGAAGTTCAGAAATAGCAAAAACTAATCATGATGATAGAGGTCAAGAAGGTGGTTACTTTCAGAGGAATGTGGATGGGATGGGGCATGAGGGAGCCTGCTTAGATGCTGGAAATGTCCTACATCCTAATCAGGGTGGTAGTCCTCCAGGTATAAACACATGTAAAAATTTTTAAAGACAGGCCGGGCACGGTGGCTCATGCCTGTAATACCAGCACTTAGGGAGGCTGAGGGGGTGGATCACCTGAGGTCAGGAGTTTGAGACCAGCCTGGCCAACATGGTGAAACCCTGTATCTACTAAAAATACAAAAATTAGCTGGATGTGGTAGTGGGCGCCTGTAATCCCAGCTACTAGGGAGGCTGAGGCAGGAGAATCGGTTGAATCAGGGAGGCAGAGGTTGCAGTGAGCCAAGATCGTGCCACTGTACTCCAGCCTGGGCAACAGAGCAAGACTCTGTCTCAAAAAAAAAAAAAAATTATAAAGACACACACTTCAGATTTGTTCTATTTACTATATTTGTTACACCTCCATTTTTAAAAAGTGCAGGTATTGAAGATGGAATGACAATGCTTTCCAAAGCCTCCTTTTTTTTATCTTTGGTTACATTTCTCTAAGCTCCTTATTTCAGCCCTGGCACATCTCACCTTTATCATTTCCTTTCTCATTCTTTTCTCCTGTTGGAGAAGGGTGACTGTTTGCCACTTGAAAGGTTGGGTTTTTTTTTTTTTTTTTTTTTTTTACTTACATAGTGAGGGTGATATTGTTGAAAGCCCTTAGACTTGTTAGATGTAGTGATACCTAGTGATTTTATAGTTACGACTCTGTCTGGCTGAAAATTTTGCCGTATAGATGAAACATCATCAAGGTATGTATACGCATTTTGGAACCTATCATATAAAAAAGAAAACTTTTGTAACTTAAATTTGGGATTTATGTTTTTGGTTTTTTGTTTGTTTGTTTGTTTTGAGATGGAGTCTTGCTCTGTCGCCCAGGGTGGAGTGCAGTGGCATGATCTCGGCTCACTGCAGCTTCTGCCTCTCGGGTTCATGCAGTTCTCCCGCCTCAGCCTCCCCAGCAGCTGGGACTACAGGCGGCCACCACTATGCCTGGCTAACTTCTGTATTTTTTGTAGAGACAGGGTTTCACCATGTTGGCCAAACTGGTCTTGAACTCCTGATCTCAGGTGACCCCCCTACCTCAGCCTCCCGAAGTGCTGGGATTACAGGCGTGAGCCACTGCGCCCAGCCGAGATTTACGTCTCTATTGTAACTTTTGTGTTTTCTTGAGGAAGTGTCACATGACTTCTTAGCCCTCTTATTCACCTACCTAATAAATAGGCATGAAAGTATATTTGCCACTACACAGGTGGAAGTCACATAATGTAGGAAACGTGTCTGTGTTCAAAACTCATAAGAATGCTTTCAGAATGCAAAATTTAAGTTTGTGGGTTTAAAAAAAAAAACAATTATTTCTCTTTGTGAATTCATCCAATTCTTGGTAGGATAAATTAGTGAGCTGTTTTCTCCCAGTTGCTTGACTTAAAGGCATGCTCTGGTTCCCACTGGGTGGGAAATCCCTTGAATGCCCTCTGGTGGCGAGAAAGAACGATTGCATCTTCTTGTGGATTTCCTCTGCCTGGAATTGCCTTAGTCACCAAGTTCATGGAGCCCACTACTCTGTAAATTGTTGTGGATTTGTCTTTGTTCTTAATTCCATTGGAAATTTTTCTGACTTTTCTTCTCAGGACTGTGAAAAACCAGGAATTTCTTGCCTAACAGCACACTGTAACTTTAGTGCTCTTGCTAAAGAAGAAAGTCGTACTATAGACATTTACATGCTGCTGAACACAGAAATACTGAAAAAGGTAAGCCCTAATGAACCGCACTTGTGGATGCATTTAGAAGCATTTGAATTGTTGACATCTGATTTTGGGTAAAAAAAAGGAAAAAGGAAAGCATTTGAATTGGTGTCCTCATGACAATCTGGCTGCCCCCCCTTTTGGCTGTCTACAAGAGACTGTTTTTATTTTTATGTATTTAGGGGGTACAAGTGCAGACTTCTTATATGAATATATTGTATCGTGATGAAATCTGGGCTTTTAGTGTACCCAATAGTGAACATGGTACCCAACAGGTAACTTTTCAACCCTCACCCCCCTCCCACATTTTGGAGTCTCCAATGTCTGTTAATTCCACTCTTTATGCCTATGGGTACCCATTACTTAGCTCCCACTTATAAGTGAGAACATGCAGTAGTTGACTACTTATGAGTTATTTCACTTAGGGAAATGGACTTCATTTCCATCCATGTTGCTGCAAAAGACATAATTTAATTCTTTTTTATGGCTGAGTAATATTCCATGGTGTGTGTGTGTGTGTATATATATATATATACCACATTTTCTATAACCAGTCATCCATTCATGGACACTTAAGTTGATTCCCTATCTTTGCTGTTGTGAATAGTGCTGCAATAAACTTACCAGTGCAGGTATATTTTTTATACAATACTTCTTTCCCTTTGGGTATATACCCATTAGTGTGATTGCTGGATGGAATGGCAGTTCTATTTTTAGTTCTTTGAGAAATCTCGATACTGCTTTTTTGATTGTACTAATTTATCTTCCCATCAACAGTGTATAAGTGTTCCCTTTTCTTTGCATCCTCACCAACATCTGTTGTTGTAGTTGTTGTTGTTGAACTGTTTAGTAATAGTCTGGCTGCCCCTTTTGAAACTTTTCCAGCAAGTGCCATTGGTAATTTTGCTGGTAGATAATGCCAGGGTAAAATACCAGACCCTTGCTACTCAAAGTGTGGTCCGAGGACCAGCAGCATCAGCATCACCTGAGAGTTTCTTAGAAATGCAGAATCCTGGGCTCCACCCCAGACTTAATAAATCGGCATCTTCATTTTTAACACATTCCCCAGGGATTTTGTTTGGCCATTTAAGTTTCTCATGCTTTAGCTTGCATCAGAATCACCTGGAGATCTTGTTCAAACACAGATTCCTTTGGGGTGCAGTCTGAGGCTCTCCAGTTGCCACAAGCACCCAGGTGATGCCAGTCCTGCAGTCTAGGGACCTCGCTTTGGATGAAGGTTGGCTAACCTTTTCTGTAAAGGGCCAGTGGTAAATATTTCAGGCTTTGCAGGCCCTACAGTCTCTTGCAACTGTTCAACTCTGCCATTGTATTGTGAAAGCAGCCATAGACAACACTCAAATAAATGGGCATGGCTGTGATCCAGTAAAACTTTATAAAAACAGGCAGAGGGCCAGATTTGACCCATGAGTCCTAGTTTAAATGACGGTTTGTTTTGGTCCAACTTTTGAACCTCAGGTCACTTTGCTATTATGAGTTTATCACAGGTGGTTCATTAAAAAACCACCTCAACCAGTGCATCGGTGGCTCTTGAAGAATCATACAAATTTCCTATGATTTATTTTAAGGTGAGAGCTGCTGAGAGGCCACTTCCAACAAGTTGCTGTAAAAATAATTACATGTGAAGATAAAACTAAATATGCATGTTAGCCTCAGAGATTCCAATTATTTTTCTTTAGAAAGACTAAATGTGTTAATCTGTACAAACCTATCCACGTGTGAATGAATAACCTTAGAAAAGTCATTCTGTGGTTATTTTTAAATAGGCACAGAGGTAACACACTGACCTGAGAGGATGCAGGCATCAGGGGATGTTTTTCCATTTTCAATCTGTAGCCGTTACAGCCCTCACACACCTGAAGAGAGCTGTGCATAGTTCTGGTTTCTCTGGTTTGCTCTGGAGGGAAACTGGTTTGGGGCAAGTTGGACTCACACTGCAGTGCTTTCTTCTCCCTTTGTACCTCTCCCTTTATAAAGGACAGTGTTGGAGGAGGACCAGGCCTGACTTAGAGCACCACTGGCCATCCTCTGATTCCATAAGGGAGGCTGGAAAACCCCACGTCTGGAGAAGTACCTTCCTGAAATGTGTCCGCAGGCCAGGCTGGAGGACTATGCCTCTGCATATGTACCTGTCCTGTTTGTATTCTTCAAAAATGGTGCTGCAGACAGTTTTATTGCCTGTGCCATACTTGCCACTGTCCATAGAGCCCTGGTGACAGCACTGGTGGCTGTAAGCCACTCTGATGTTTCCTTTATCCTCAACCCAGATGGCTGCTGCTTGCACTTCAGTTATTTGCACTTAATCATGCACAGCTCTGCAGCCTGGTTCTTCTGCTTTTCTATCCCGGCAGCCAGTGGTGACCCTTTGCCAAGGAACATGTCCCAGTGACTACTGTCCCCATGGGCCAGCCAGGCCAGTAGAGCCGCAGGCAAGAGAGCTGAAAGCTGTAGGGTGTCATATGAAGCCTTCAAGGCTCATTCTCCATGTGCCCTTTCAGCAGAAACCAGGAGCACTTCCAGGTGCAGAGAAAAGCTTAGAACAAAGTTGACCTGGAAGCCAGATGGGGCCCCAGCTGCTCCCAGAGCTTCAGTTGCCCTGAAGCCAGCTACAGCCTCCCTTGGGGAGTGGAGCCCACATGGCTCCAGGCCTCCCGAAGGATGTGGAGCAGCGCCAGCCTTGTGGTTTGCCTGGGCCTGCAGTCGTGTTTATTTTCCTTTTGACCTCAAGATCTGGCCCCAGACAAGGGAATTTGAGGTTTTACTGTTTTGACCTTAACAAGTTTTCATTTGAAATGTAGGATCTGATTTTTAAAATCACTGTAGGAGCCGGGCGCAGTGGCTCACGCCTGTAATCCCAGCACTTTGGGAGGCTGAGGTGGGCATATCACAAGGTCAGGAATTCAAGACCAGCCTGGCCAACATGGTGAAACCCCATCTCTACTAAAAAATACAAAAATTAGCCTGGCATGGTGGTGGGCACCTGTAGTCTCAGCTACTCGGGAGGCTGAGGCAGAAGAATCGCTTGAACCTGGGAGGTGGAGGTTGCAGTGAGCCAAGATCGTGCCATTGCACTCCAGCCTGGGCAACAGAGCGAGACTCTGTCTCAAAAAAAAAAAATCACCGTAGGATTCGGATTTTTTTGGAAGTATTCTTCTTTCAGTCTGTAAGGCTTTTCTCACTGATTCTACAACCGTGGGGGCCCATCCTGTGCCAGACTCCTCGTCTGCTTGGCCTGTAACGTTGGCAATTATCATCATCATTATCGTTATTAATATCCAAGTTTATTTTTATTTATTTTAATGTTTTTATTTAAAAAAATATTTTTAGAGACAGGATCTTGCTCTGTCACCCAGATGGGAGTACAGTGGCTCAATCATAGCTCACTGCAGCCTCAAACTCCTGGGCTCAAGTGATCTTCCTGCCTCAGCTAGTCCTCAGCTAGGACTGCAGGCACATGCTACCATGACAGGTGAATTTTTTTTTAATCTTTTGTAGAGATAGGATGTTTCCCCAGGCTGGACTTGACCTCCTAGCCTCAAGTGATCCTCCCACTTCAGTCTCTCAAAGTGCTGGGATTACAGGCCTTAACCATCGTGCCTGGCCCAAGATTATTATTATTATTCAAGATTGAAAATACAGCATATCCTGATACATAAAACCCCAACTTTATAAAACTGTTAAATTGGTAAAAGATTATTTGTTGCTTAAAATTATTTCTTGCTTAAAGTGAGTTAACTGGAGTAACTCTTTTGAATGACAAGCTTCCCAAAAGCATTTAAAATGTGTCTTATGGTTGTTTTAAGAAAAGAATGATAATTGGTGCATAACTCCCAAGTCACATATACAGACCAGGGTCCCTGTGTGCCCCAGGAAGGTCTTTGTGGTTTCTTTGGCAGAGATGAGCAAAGGGTACCCTTGGAACTGTTTTCTGTGGAGTCCTCTACCTTCCTGTTTCTTTGAGGGTTTAACCAAAGGTGGCATTTAAGTGTAAGCTCCTTGCATGACAGGCAAGCTGGGTAGATGTAGGTGGGGACACCACAAGACACCTTGCCTGTGGAGCCCCTCCTGCCCCACAGGTAGAATGTTGAATGCACTAGTTCTCTGCTATCTGTTTCCACGACAGAAGCCAGGCTGCCCTTCTGCTCCACAATCAACCTGTACCACTGGCTTGAGGTTCTGGCTTCTCCCCAGACCACAGTTTTTCCAGTCCCTGTCTTCTTCCAAATTCTTTCTCCATCCCTGTTTTGGCGCCATTTTCTGGTTATCTGGATCAGTGTCTTTGAATCTGAGCCCACAGGAAGACCTCTGCCTGCCTCTGGCTGGGGGGTGATTCCAGAGTCTTAGCTGTGCTCCCTTATACCCCTGCCCCTTTCTCCTTAATTCATAAGCCAGATATTTACCCCTTCCCCATCTCTCCATCAGGCATCCTCTTTCAATGTTTAATGGTTTTGATTCCAAAATGACTTCATTTAAGAGCAAAGAAAGAGTTAAAAGCAACTCATATGAAGGGTTTGAGGGTTGTGGTCAAGGCAGGAAGATGCCTATAAAATGTAGATCAGATGCCTTCTGTGGAATGCCAGGCCTAGATTTGCTCTACACAATTAAACAGCTTTATTTATCCTCAACTCTTTGTGAACATGTCAATATCAATATCCAAATATCTGGCTCTAACTGCTTGGAAACCACAGCACACATCTTGCGTGTGTTGATTACTGGCAAACTCCATCATTTCCCACCATCCACCATGATCTGCAAAGAATCCTTAAGAGAGACCCTAGTCTGTGTTTATGTGGGTGCCTGGGATGGAGAGGTATCTAGTTCAATGATAAAATTTTTGTCTGGGCTACATGGAATCATGGAATTTCAGTTCTGCCCAGTCCCTCTCAAGGCCCAGCCATTATCATAGAAAAATCTTCAAGTAAGTTGTGTTGTTTCTTCCACAGGACAGTTCGTCTGTCATCCAGTTCATGTCCCGCGCCAAGGTGAAGGTGGATCCTGCCCTAAGGGTGGTGGAAATAGCTCATGGGAACCCAGAAGAGGTGACGGTGAGTCAGCCACCCCAGGACAGCCCTCCTCAGAGGGCAAGGGAAGCTGGGTGACTTGGAGACCTGGAGCTGGAATTTGAGGGTCAAGACAGTCTCTGAGCCAAGATGTTGGGTTTGTGGCAGACCCAAGACTATGCCTGCCTTGGCTTCCAGGCCCCCCCTGGAGAACTTCTGTGGTTCGTTCTTGTGATAGCATTGTCCTTTAGGATGCCATCATTATGTGAATGTTTCCTGCTATGATTGTCCAAAGGGAAAATGGTCTGGAAGTACACCCACGTCAACAGAGTTGGATTTCCACTGTGGAGCCAGGACTATTTATATCTTTCTTAGACCTTTCCTAAGACAGACCACATCTGCCTTACCCGTCACATTACTCCATGGGTAAATACTGTGTTTTGGTTTGGTTTGGTTTGGTTTTTAAGAGACAGGGTCTCACTCTGTCACCCAGGCTGGTGTGCAGTCATAACTCCCTGTAGCCTTGAATACCTGGCCTCAAGGGATCCTCTCACCTTAGCCTCCAGAGTAGCTAGGACTACAGGCACACTACCATGCCTAATTTTTAAATTTTTTAAAATTTTTTTGTCGGGATAGGGTTCCACGATGTTGCTCAGGCTGGTCTCAAACTCCTGGCTTCAAGCGATCCTCCTGCCTCAGCCTCCCAAAACACTGAGATTACAGGCAAACACTGGGTGTTTTAAAAACAAGTTGTTTGAATGACTTAAAGAGATTACATCCAAATTGCCAAGACCTAGTAACTGCTCTTTAACTATTTACCACCCCCTTCTCCTCCATAAAGTGCAGTTGGCACCAAGGCCTCAGAGACACGGGAGGGTGTGGCAAACCACGAGGCTGAGAGTGGAGGTGTGGGAGAGGCTGGAGGGAAGCTATGGCCTTGGAATTTTATTGCCTTTTATTGTTGTTCTTGCAGGAGCAGGGGGGTTGAGGGGGGTTGAGGGGGGTTCATCCTGTATTTGATGCCCACACTCAGATCCCAGGGGAGTAGAGGAGGAGACAGCAGCCGATGCACTTCTTTTGCCAGTGAGCTGTGCAATGATGCTACCTGTCTGCTTCCCTTCTGTGGAATTTACCCTCTCTTAGAACAGTCAGTGTTGCTGTGACACATTTACAAAAGTGATAAGTTTATAATGATTTTGTGCTTAGAAACTGTTGTTAATTTACTCTCTGACAACAGTGGAGACACCACATGTCAAAATGTCAGAATGGGGTTCAAACCAAAGACTACTCTTACAAGACCCTGGTTGGGAAAGTTTCATATAGAAAATAAATGCTGGGCAGGCGGATCATCTGAGATCAGGAGTTCAAGACCAACATGGCGAAACGCTGTCTCTACTAAAAAATATAAAAATTAGCCAGTCGTGGTGGTAGGCTCTTGTAATCCCAGCTACTTGGGAACTGAGGCAGGAGAATCACTTGAAACCCGGAGGCGGAGGTTGCAGTGAGCCAAGATCATGCCACTCTGCTCCAGCCTGGGCAACGGAGTAAGACTCCGTCTCAAAAAAACAAAAAACAAACAAACAAAAAAAAAAAAACCAATAGTAATAATGCTTAGGACCTCAATAAAACTTCAGTCCTGTCCGTTTTTGGTGAGCAAGAGATGAGAACATCAGGGAGTCTGGGATGAAAATGAATTCCTGAATGAGTGAGGGGTTGGGCATTCCCTACTCAGTGAGGAGAATGAGTGTTCCATGCAGACTTTTATGCTCTACCCACAAGATAAGTTGTCCAAGCACTATTTTTGTTTGTTTGTTTGTTTCTTTGTTTGTTTGAGACAGGGTCTTGCTTTGTCACCCAGGCTGGAGTGCACTGGTGCAATCATGGCTCACTGCAGCCTCCACCTGTTGGCTCAGGCCAGGCACTAATTTTAATGATAGAAACCAAATGGAATGATGCTGGGTCATTTACTACTTAGGGTCAGTTTTTCTGGCAGGTCAGATATTTGGAGTTGGTGTTTCCCTTTTCTTCCCTGCCTTCTGGCCATTTAACTGCTAATTCAGACCTCCACCTGGGAAGTGAAAAAGAAAAGTGGTTCCCTGCTCATTGTCATAGTTCTGGTTTAAAAGTTTTATAGAATGAAATACTTGCCCAACATGAGAGGTTTAGAATGTTCTGGTAAACCACAGTGTTAATAAGTGGAAGCTAATGGAAATAGCTAACAGGTTTTCTACACGTAGAATCCCTTGTGTAGATGAAAAAAAAAAATCACTGGGCATATTGCCTTCCATTATAGGACTAGACTGTGGGATCCAGGAAAATGTTGCTTAACATCTCGTTGTTGGATTCCAAGTCATCTGTACTCCCCCAAAATACCACTTCCATTAATTACTGTTCCATTTTGAGCACTATGGTGATATTTTCATTATCAAGAGTTCTTGGGAAGAGGCCGAGAGGTTTTTTTTAGCACTCCTAAGAAAAAATTAACACACATGGGAATTCCACAATGCCCCTTCTCCCTCCTTTCCATGACTTTGCCTTTTCAGTCCATGAGCTACAATGAAGTTCTACAATCTGTTGTTCTCAATTTTCCTGGCAGGAAAAAAAAAATCTTTTCTGAGTAGGAAGGTTTGCCTTTTTAGAACAAACACGATCTTCCCTGCGTGATTCTTCTGAATGCCTGGCCTTCTGTCAACTATCAGTCTGAAGGGGAATTTCCATAGAGCCTCGCCACCAAATTTAAATTAGGCAAAGTTTCAAAGATTTTAGATTAGGCACCAAATTGTTATGGCCTTGGAAGGAACAGGAAATGTACTTGCATTTGGTATCGAGTGGGGGAGGAAAACAATCAGATTTTTAACCACATAACGTGTGCACGGTGGTAAATTTAACTGATGGAGAAATCAAGCAATTTTCCTGTGATCTTTTTTAATAGGAGTTTTAAAATGCATTTTATATTGAGTAGTTATTTCATGTTTTCTTAAAACAATTATTGTATTGAACTAAAAATAAACTAGGTAGTTTGTTCACATAACAAATCTACATTCAAAGACATGCAAACAAATTTTCCACTTAGTCCATTTTTCTGTTCTCAGCATTACTACAAATGCCTCATTCTGTTATCACGTTGAATTCTTCAGCATCTTCTATATCATTTCCAGGGCATCTCTGGGAAGTAGTGATGCCTGTCTTCCCTCAGAAGCACACTGATAACCCCAATATACCCACAATTCACACTTTTTTCCTTCTCTGAGGTATGCTGTTTTTTGTCAAAACAGAAAAAACACACTACTAGGATATGAAAAACTTCATTCTGGGCCTGGTTAGGTCATAAACTACAGAACCTTAGGTCATATATTCTCACCGGGCGCTTGTTTCTCCACTGCAAAAAATAATTCGTATTTGCTTGGTCCTTTGTAGTACTTTACTGTTTATAAATGTAGTACATTTATCTTCATGATGACCCTTAAATTTAAGTAAGGTAGTATTATGCTCATTTTATAGAAGAAATTCAATCTCAAAGAGGATACAGTCTCCCAAAGATCCCACAAGCAGTAATATATTAGGCAGAGCTAAACTCACACACTGTCACTCAATTTCCTAATATTGGTACATGCCATGCTAATAAGTGTGCTAAAATGGATGAAGCGGCAATTTCTCAGGTCCCTTCCAATGATCCTGTCCTCTGCTTCTACTTGATATTTTTTCTCTCTTTCAACTAGCATTAACATCCGAAACTGTATATCATCACCACATTTCATTTACCATGGTTTTTTAATTTAATTATTCTTTAAATTTTTCTATTTCCATGTTAAATCCAGAGAAATTGTTACTTTTTGGAAAGTTTCTACTGCTGCCTGCCTCTGAAGGCCACGGGACTTACCTGTTTGTTTGTCAAAGCAGAAATGCCCAACATTTTGTAAACACTAATTTTTTTATAACTGTAAAGATGATTATTCCATACTTAAAACCAATTCAAAATAAAATAAATCCTCAATACTTCTTATTCCCTGGGGTAGTAATTTTAATTAGATTCTATTGATTCATTATTTTCTCCTGTGTGCCTTTATTTGGGAAATACTGTTAGTTTACCTTGCTATCGAGTCTCTTTCCCTAACAAGAAAATGTCAGCCTTACGAGTCAGGAAAGCTTTTACTTTCACTATCACATATGAAGAATGAACTAAACACCTAACTTGGAAAGTAAAACTTAAATGAGGGATTCAGGACATTTCCCAAGGGGTCATCTGACCAATTTAAGAGTTGGTATGATGTGCCTAAAATAGCAAATTAACTCTTCTACTTATAATAAAGGTGCAGATGTACTGATTAGACATGCTGACATGTACATATAAAATATGCCTAAACCAAATTAAAAGAAAACAAAATATATTCCATGGCAATCTTGAAAAGTCAGGGAGCTCAATATATATTAAGAGTATGCGCTCAGCCAGGCGCGGTGGCTCACACCTGTAATCCTAGCACTTTGGGAGGCCAAGGCGGGTGGACCACAAAGTCAGGAGATCGAGACCATCCTGGCTAACGTGGTGTAACCCTGTCTCTACTAAAAAATACCAAAAAAAAAAAAAATGAGCTGGGTGTGGTGGCGGGCGCCTGTAGTCCCAGCTACTCGGGAGGCTGAGACAGGAGAATGGCGTGAACCCAGAAGGCGGAGCTTGCAGTGAGCTGAGATCACGCCACTGCACTCCAGCCTGGGTGACAGAGTGAGACTCCGTCTCAAAAAAAAAAAAAAAAAAAAAAAAAAGACTATGCTCTCACAATGAGAGCATTAAACATTTGGTAATTAACATAATTTAATATGCCAAAAATGAGAAAATAGTCAGGATGAGGGATGAGGAGTACACATAGGAAATTTTTGTGATTTTCTTCATTTTGATTGTATTGCTTTCTTGTCTTCAGGAGGGAAGATTTTGACTTCAAAAGTAACAAAATATTTAAGAAGGGAATTCACATCTTTCTGTTCTAATTGGTATTCTTGCGCTATTTTCTCAGCAGTCCATGTTTCTGGATAAAGTTTATGATTGTTAAGAAGTGTCAGTGCTTCTACAATGGAAATTTTGCCTTTGGGAATGCTCTTAATATTTATCATATCAAAGTGATGACCTTTCAGCAATCTGAATTCCTTTGGCTCTTGATGTGTTTCAGCAGCTTTTACCTGCGCGGAAGACACAAGATCTTTGGAATCAACATACACATCTTTTAGAAATGGCAGCAGCTTGTCATCTTTATGAGCAATCTCTCCCTTAATTTCTGGATAGAGACTAATCTGCTCTCACAGGAGGCTGTTGGTAGAGGGGTGCCTGGGAGCAGGAGAGGGCTTCATCTTGCTGATTTCCCATTCTGCTCGGTTCTCTCGGTTGGAATGCCTGATCCTGCGAGTCACTGCAGCCCCCATCTCATAACATGATGCCCTCAGGTTTACGCCACTTGTGGGAACACTGGCACAGGAAGCCTCCAGGGCGTCTGGAGCATGCACACATGTCCTGTGATTCTTTATATCTTTTATTTTTATGCCATGGTACAAGTTGTGCTTTACAGAGCATTTGGGTGAATAACTAGAAATATGCCATAGATTCTTGAGGCTTTGCCTGGTTCACTAATGACAGGCTCCAGGGCGTTTCTCAGGGAGCATGTTAGCATGTTTCTAGGACCAGCCACATCAGCCAGACCTGGCTCTGTACAGACCCAAACCTGAGAATGCCATGTGAGACCTGTGTGACTGCAGAATCAAAGTGCTGGTTGCGAGGTGCCAATTACATGTTGAATTTCATCTTCAACCCAACTCTACTTACCTTTCAGGGAGTGATGAGTAGGGGGCGAGAGGGGAAAATGCAGAAAGTGTTGTTTGAGGCCCACAGAAACTATAAAGATGAAGAACAGGAGAAACGTAGTTAATCATGCCCTGGAAAGCTGGCCTGCAGAAAGAAAAGGAATTTATCTCTGAGAAGGCCTTCAGAAAGAAAATGAGTAGGCTCCGGAGACGTTCATCTGTCTTCGTGCAGCCATAAAAAGTTATCAGGTGAGGCTGAGGGGTGAAGGCGCTTTCTCTGATCCCTGAATTGGTTACTGAGGCCCACAGAAGAGGAAAGGACCCCTGAAGCCAGAAACTCCCCCAAGGCAAATCAAGACTTTATGGAATCAGCTCTGTTACTGCAAGACATCCCCTCAAACTCCCGTCTCAGTCTGTGTGAGAAGCGTGCATGAATTCTTGCTATTTTCTTGATATTTTCAAATAGCAGAATACATGATAAACTTGTAAGTCCACAGATGAGTCGGTAAGCTGCTGCCATATGGAGCATGCACCAGACTGAGGTCTTTGGTGACAGCTGGAAAGACTGGCTCTGTCTCATTTCAGCAGAATCAGAATGGATTCGAAGGCTATCCAGTGGAAGTGCTCAGAATTGCGCTGGAAGGCTGGAGAACCAGACCAAAAATCAGAGGGATCTGGAAACCTGAGGGCTATAGGCTGCGTCCAGGCGCAGGAAGTCTGGCATGGTGTCCTGGACACTGGACACAGCTATCCCTGGCTTCTCTCTACCTCGTGCTCTGGAGTCAGGCAGAAACCTTTCTACTTTCTGGAGTTGCTGAGAAGGTTCAGTGATACCAGCATGAAGCTCCTAGAAGAAGGGCTGGTGCATAGCTGCTGCTCAGGGTGGCACAGCCCCTCCACAGTCCTGCCCACATGTGAGTTGCCCCTTCACACCACTCCCTAACACTGCCCTCACCAAAGATGCAAGCCTGGTATCTCAACCAGAGAGGCATCTTTCAACATGGCAAGCAAGATTACTCCAAAAAAATGCCACTTACCATTCCTTTGGTGTACTGCTTCTAGAGGCAAAGTTTACTGCTTTTACTGTCATGAAATAGACTGTGACTTGTTATTTATCATTTATGTGACCAATTATAGTTACAATCATGTTCCATGTGACAATAGAATCTTTCCCCCCTTGAACCTCACATTATGCTGAGATGTAGGATGAAGAGGAGGGTTGTTGAAGGGTCATCACCGCCCCCATCCTATGCCATCAGCAGTGGGTGGTGAGTAGTTCTTTCTCTTCACCCACCTCCCCACATGTGAGAATTAAGCTCTGACCATCAAGAATTGAGAAAACTCTCGGTATAGTTTTCCAAACACACGAGTCATATTTTCTAATGGTCATCATTTGCTTATTTGTTTGATGAATATTTATTGAGGGCTTGCTAAGAGCCAGGCACTGTGCTAGGCACTGGGGACTCGATGGGGAACAAAAGAGACATGATCCGTGCCCTCCCAGAGCTGGCCGAGGGGGCAGCAGTCAGCAAGGACGCAAACAAGAATTCTATTTCCAGTTGAGGTTAGTCCCCAGGGAGTAGCCTGCTTTAGATTGGGGGTCGAGGAATGTTTCTACAAGGAAGCTGAGACTGGCAGATGAGAAGGAATTCGCTTGCCAAGCATGAGGAAGAGTGTCTCAGTTGGGGAGGAGAGCTGTATGGAGCCCCAAAAGGCTTGGCCTCTTCAAGGCACTGAAAGACCAGGTAGCAGGAAGCTGGTTAGCAGTGAAGAGAACCATGGTAGACCTAGGCAGGGTCCATGCCAGGTAACACCACTGGGCACTTACAAAGGAAAGCCATTGAAAGCTTCTGTTTGGAGCAGGGAATGGCATGATCCAGTGTATGTTCTTTAAAAATCGTAGGCCACTGTGTGGATGGTGGATTTTAGGGGCAAAGGTGGAAATAAGGAGCTGGTTAGAAGGCTGCGATTTTCACCTGGCAAGAGGTCAGGGTGGCAGAGGAGACAGAGCAAGTGGACAGTATGTCTATGTCAGTGAAGGTGCGGTGACCGGTGCCACTCACACGTAAGGAATGCTTATCCTGGAGGGCTGGGAGTGATCCAGTGTCATCTCGATGCAAAGCCCCTTGCACAGCACATCCACGGTGGCACTCTGTTAATAGTGGCTGTCATTGCATAAAGAGATGGCCAAGGAGATGAACCACATGAAAAATGAGCCTCCTTCTCCCCAAATCCTCAAGTCCTGGTCAGTTTACTCTAAATCAAAGTTTCCAGTCGTCATGATGAGTATGATCATCATCATTATTATTTTTAGGCAACAGAACCCATTTCTAAATTGAAATATGCTTCAGTTGACTCAGGGGTGAGGTTCCTGGAACTCCCTCTTGGTGGCTTCCATACCCCCTCACTGGACCCGTGGGCTCTAAAGAAGCCACTGCTATGGAAAGTTGTATTCTCAGAAGGTTGCCCAGTCCATCAAAGGCTTTCACTAGATGCTAGTTATACCCCCAGTAACTATGAACAAGATGAAATTTTTACCCTCAAGACTTCCACAGCCCCAAACAGGTCAACACACACACACACACACACACACACACACACACACACACACACACACGTGCACACACATCACACCCCTGCAGCACTGTATGCATACGTGCCCAGAGTATCTGTGCTGAAGAGGTCAAGACAGGTTTCACAGAAGGAGTGACCCCCGAACAAGTATTGAAGGAATTTCCCACGTGGACAAGGAAGATCAGGCATTCAAGATGAAGTCAGATGGTGTCTTGGGCTGGATTCTCAAGAAGCAGACCCTGAGATGAGGGCATCATGTAAGCAGTTTATTTAGGGAGATGCTCCTAATGAGACCCAGAAATAAATGGGACAGGATAGGAAAGAGGAGAAGGGAAGCAAGGGTGAGATTTCAGGGACCATCTTAGCTCCACCCTGATCTTGACCTCGGAGTTGGTCCTGCCTGGAAGCAGGGGAGCTGGGGTCTCACACTCCTGTATCTGCCAGTCATTGGTTGGGGCTGTTCCAGAGGTAGTAACCCCAAGCCACTTTACCCTCTAAAAGTGAGGCAGGCCTCTAGAAGTGAAGGCATGACAAACCTGGGGGCTGGGCAGGCCAAATCAAGAGAGGGGACCCAAAAGGATCTGGGCAGAGAACCGAGTCTTGGCCACAGATGGAAATGTTCTGCACTCAGAGCTTGGGTGCTGTGCTCAGTGTGCGTGTCCATGTCCCATTAAGATGAATGACCTCATTGTGTGAGGTGTGCTCGAATCTGCTGAATTCCTGTGAAGTGCTAGGCATGTGCTATGATTACCTCCTGTCACTCTGACATCACCCCTGTGAACTAGGCACTACAACTTCCATCTTCTTTGGAACAGAGGCTCCGGGAGTGAAGGAGCCTGCTGGATGCCCCACAGCCGGTCAGTGGAAGAGGAATTTCTGGCCACAGCTCTGCCTGTTGGCGAGCCCTGAGTCTCCCTTGACCCCTTACCCCTCTGGCCTGTGCTGTCCTGTAGCCCAGAGCCCACACACAGAGCAGGTGGGAGGAATCGCATTCCTGGGTGGTAGACAGCTGACCCTCTGTCTTAGGAGTGACCCTTGGCTCTAATGGCCTCAGGAGCACATCATGCTCAGACTTATTTGGTGGTCAGTTGGCTTTGGAACTCTTCCCATTGTGTCCTGGTCCTTAACTAGATGCACAGATGTGCAGTCAAGGGGAGAATGAAGACTCCTCGGGATTCTCCATCGCTTGAGGTAAATGAGCTCCATCCCTCTCTCTCTCAAGAGCAATGTGAGGATTATGGGGAGTAGTAGATAGTAAACCTCTCAGCATGGTGCCTGGTGCATAGTAAGTACTCTACAAATGTGATCCATTACCAGTAACAGGAATTAGAAAGCCCAGCTCATTCCTCTGCAAACTCTGACAGAGAAAGGGATTTTGGAAACATGACACCTGGCAGGCATGGGGCATGTTTGACATCTCTGTTCATCACAGCACAGACTTACAGTGCCAGTCTTGCCAAATGTACAGTTTATTTTCTGTTCATTTATGTCGTCTCCATAAGTCTCCCTGTGCCTCTGAACTGGCTTGCCTTCTAGGCTGAGTTCTGAGAGCCATCTGAGGC
Organism: Homo sapiens; assembly: GCF_000001405.40. NCBI lineage: Eukaryota > Metazoa > Chordata > Mammalia > Primates > Hominidae > Homo > Homo sapiens. Next base: position 367,614 of record NW_025791771.1, read on the forward strand.
ATGGTTCTGCTGAAAACATTTATTCCAGCCCCAACCACCCTGTCTCCCTCCTCCCTCCCCCACACCTGCACTGGCTATTAGATGGAATCAGAATCGGGTGGAAATGTCATCTCACTGTCACAGATGTTATTCTCTTTCCACTTCTTATTTTATATAAATTCCTTCCTTCTATTGAGACAAGTGTGTGATGTTGACTGCAGAGAGCATCTTGCCCTTGTCATTGACCTTCAGCTGGCCTAGGTCTGGAGTTGAACCTCCTCTTGGATGGTATTGACCGAGCTGTCCCTCCGTCTCTGGAAGCCCTCCATCCAGCAGAAGCCTGGGTGAGATGTACTGCCATTGTGATCATATTCTCAGGCCTTGTGGAGACATGGGCATTGCCAGCTGTTACAGTAGGCATATTTGCATTGATCAGAACATAAAAGTTTCCAGAAACACAGAAGTGAATCAAATAGTGTGGTTTAGGTTCACCCACTGCCTCAGACTGGAAGCTGGCTTCTGGCCACTCCATGACACCAGCTTGGCAACCTCAGGTACGTTAAATTCTACAGAAGCAGGCAGGGTGCCAGTGTCTGGACCTGTCTCAAAGGCCTGTTTGCCCTCCTCAAAGGCCCCCTTGAGACAGATCCTCATACTCCCCATTTTCGTCTGTTTTGTTAGTCAGCGTCCAGTGTGTGAGCCCTCCAGCCAGGGTCCGCACCAGGCCATCAGCCATCCCTTCACTGGCCAGAGCTCCTGCCTTCCCCAGCTCAGCCTGCTACGACCCTCACAGCCACTCCCCCAAAACCAGCAGACTTCTCCTCCTCCTCAGTCAATCTTCTCCTTTCACACCACCTCCTTTCTTACTGAAAGCGTGGATCTAACCTGGGGAAACCATTTCCCCCGCAGCCCTCTCACGGGGGCTTTTTCCTTGTACTCCCACATTCAGTTATCTCTTCTGACCTAGATTCATTTTGCAGTGTACTTTGCAAAATGCAAATCACATCACTGCCCTGCTCAAAATCCTCCAGTGGCTTCTCATTCCTCTTAAGGTAAAGCATGGAGATCTTACTGCAGCCTCCAGCTCCTGTCTCTCCAGCATATCATGAACATCTTCCCGCTGCTTCTTGTTCATCCTGTTGGCTCCAGTTCACTGTCCAATGGCAGTGTCTCACCCTTGCCAAGTTCACTCATGCCAAAGGGGGTTTGCACATCATGTTCCCTCTCCTTGGAATGATCTTCCCTCCCTTGTTTAGCTGGTAAACTTCTGCTTGTCCTTTCACCTTCAGCTCAAATGGCTCCTCAGGGAACTCTGTTCACTCCCATGCCTCTATCATGAGGATCTTTTATCATCATGAACTTCTCCTTTGTAGCACTTCCACAGTTATAATGATGCATTTATTTTTCTAATTGACTAGTAGTCTCTAGAAGCTGGAAGTTCTGTGAAAGCAAAGACTGCCTGTTTTATTCATCAATGAATTTCCACAATGTCTAGCACATAGGAGATACTGCAGACACATTTGTTGGTTGGTTGGATGGATGGATGGATGGATGGATGGATGGATGAATGGATGGATGGAACGACGGACAGACGGATGGACAGAGCAGATGGACAGGTTGATTGACAGATGGATAGGTGGTGGATGGGCGGATGGACAGATGGATGGATGGCCAGGACTCCCCCAAAAGATATAACATTTGCAAATATATTTTTGAAGGAGAGAGAAAATAATCACACTCAGAGACTCCACTTCAAATCCCACATCTCTTTTGTTGCAAACTGAGTCGTGTTCATACTTCATCTGATTTTATAGCAGAAATGATGTTGAATGTATTAATTTGTATATTCATGAATCATATAATGAATCAGTGCCTTGGTTCAGGTGACAGGAATGCATGCATTCATGTCTTTATTGTATACAAATCACAGTTTACTGGAGTCCGTAGACAGGAAGATTTATCATTACCTTAAAGAGTGAGAAGGACCTAGAACTGGGACTCTGAAGTATACAGCTGTGGTTTTAAAACTCTGTTTTGTTGGAGCCATGGGTTCCCTTGAGTTTGTTCAGTGCAGCTGAGGTCAGGTTAGGGAGGAACAGGGCTTAGAAAGAGGGGCTGGGTCAGGTGCAGTGGCTCACCTGCAGAACTTTGGGAGGCTGAGGCATGCAGATAACTTCAGCCCAGAAGTTCAAGACCAGCCTGGGCAACATGGCAAAATCCTATCTCTACAAATAATAATAATAATAATTAGTTGGCTGTGGTGGTGTTTGCCTGTAGTCCCAGCTACTTGGGAGGCTGAGGTGGGAGAATCACTTGAGCCCACCTCAAGTGATTGAGGCTATAGTATAGGTTGAGGCTATAGTAAGCCAAGATTGTACCACTTCACTCCAGTCTAAGCAACAGAGTGAGACCCTGTCTCCAAAAAATAAAAACAAATGGGGGCTGAGTAGTCTGGGTTCTAGCTGCCCACCTAAGAAGCTCCATTGTATACACTGGGATGCTATAGGAGGTTGAAAATCACTATGTTTCCAAGAGCTCAGAGAATGATTAATTCTGCTGAAAACAGGAGTAAGGCAGGCTTCTTGGGAAAGCAGATATTGGAGCAGAGTCTCTCCTTTAAAAAAATAAAATGGTTTTACTTGCCTTTAAAATGCTCAATTTAAAAAATAGTAAAACGTAGAAAAGAGAAATAATATTCATAATATCAAAAAAACACCTGTTTACTTTAAAGGGTTCCTACTGTATTGCTGCAAAGCTGAAGTCTTCTACGTATTAGATAATCTTTTTATTTTTTATTTTTTATTTTATTTTTTTGAGACTCACTGTGTCGCTCAGGCTGGAGTGCAGTGGCACAATCTCAGGTCACTGCAGCCTTCACATCCTAGATTCAAGTGATTACAGGTGTGCGCCACCACACCTGGCTAATTTTTGTAGAGACGGGGTTTCGCCATGTTGGCCAGGCTGGCTTGAGCTCCTGGCCTCAAGTTGATCCACCCGCCTTGGTCTCCCAAAGTGCTGGAATTACAGGTGTGATCCACCATACCCAACCTATTTATTTTATTTTATTTTATTTTGGACGGGGTCTTGCTCTGTCACCCAGGCTGGAGCGCAGTGGCACAGTTACAGCTCACTTCAGCCTCGATATCCCATGCTCAAATGATCCTCCTGCCTCAGCTCCCCAAATAGCTGGGACGACAGTTGCATGCCACCATGCCCAGCTAATTTCTGTGTTTTTGTAGAGACAAGGTCTCACTATGTTACCCAGGCTCATCTTGAACTCCTAGGCTCAAGCAACCCTCCCACCCTGGCCTCCCAGAGTGCTGGGATTATAGGCATGAGCCAGCATCTTCTGATTTTTTAACTTAGCATAATAAACATCATTTTCCCACATTATTACTATGTTTTCAAAAGTATCTAAAATTTGGAAATCAGGCAAAAAGATGATTACATATCCTTTCAGTGTCATACTGGAGCATCCCCTCGCCCCTTTCTACTCAAAGTGTGGTCCACAGACCAGCAGCATCAGCATCATGGGGGAGATTATTTGAAATCTAGGCTCTCAGGCCCCATTCTAGACTCTAATTCAGAATCTGCATTTTAATAGAGTTCCTCATGTGATTCTTATACACAGTAAAATTTGAGAAGCACTGGTGGAGGTCCCAAATTCTGTAAAGTTACCTATTAACTTACGGAAGGCTGATAAGTTATAAATGACTCTTGCCAGTAAAGATAAAAATGATTTCTGTTTGACTGAAAATATCCCAAAGGTTAGAATTTATTGCCTTGTAGGGTATTAGCCAGTTTTGTATTTGATTTAGTAATCTGATTTCAGTAATTTTTTTCCTGTGACTACACATTTTTTTCTGGTCTTTTTAAAACTAGCTTTGCCACCCTGCTGACTTCCTCAATAATAAATTAAATAAATCTTTGCCACGTATTCACTATATATTTGTATGAGAATCATGTTTTTAACTTTTTGAAAATTATGCTTTGACAACCAGCTTTCTGTCATCATTTTTAATAGTTCTGTGGTATTCTATTTTGTGATTGACCATAGTTTACTTATCTATTGCCCTAATGTTAGACACTTAGGATATTGCTAATTTAGTACCAATATAAATAATTCTGCAGTGAACATCTTTGAGCATAAAACTTTTTCCGTATTTTATATTTATTTCCTTTGAGTAAGTTTTCAAGTACTGAATTAATGGATCAAAGGGTATGAACATTTTTATTTTATTTTTTAATTTTTTATTTTTTTAAGACAGAGTCTTGCTCTTTCACCCAGGCTGGAATGCAGTGGTGCCACCTTGACTCACTGCAGCCTCCACCTCCCGGGCTCAAGTGATTCTCCTGCCTCAGCCTCCCAAGTAGCTGGGACTACAGACATACACCATCACACCTGGCTGATTTTTGTATTTTTAGTAGACACGAGGTTTCACCATGTTGGCCAGACTGGTCAAGTATGAACATTTTCAGATGAGCAATAATGAGCTTGTCAAATGGACAAGGATGGAAGGGCATTTCAGGAGGCAAGAGCAGCCTGCAGAGAGGCTGGGGACCACCGGTCTCACAGAGGAGAGGCCTCTAACTGGCTAGAATGTAAATATGTGTCCTGGGAGCAGCTGGAAAGGCAGGAAGGAGACCAGAGTATGAAGGCCCTGGTGTCCTGAATTAGATGCTCAGCCTAAAGGAAAGTCATGGATACTGTAAACCGAGAAGTGACATGATGAGACCTGTGCCTTAGAAAAACAACTCTATCAGCAAGGAGGCCTTTCCAAGCCTCCTGAAATAGTGCTGGTGAGAGAAGACGAGATGTGAGCCAGGAGGTACCTGGGATGGAAACAAGAGGATGGAGAGAAAAGTTGTTTAGAAAGGTGTAGGGGCTTAACCAAGGATCACCCAGCTCATTGGTGGTGATGACGGGACCTGATCATCAGTGCTTCTTGCCTCTCCATGTCGTCCATGCTGCTGTTCCTTCCTTAGAGTTTTGTTTTTTAATCTAAGATATGACTTCCTAGAGCTACAGGACACTCAGCTCATCACTCACAGATGAGTTTGAGAGTTGTGATGTGAGAGAACAGGCTCTGCCAAAGCATGGAGCACGCATCCAAGGGGATGAACAGCATCCCTAAAAATAATAAGAGATGAAGCCCACATTCCGGGGAAGTGACAGGGCATTCTTGTGGAACTTGACAGACTAAACTGTAGCTGCTACTTTAACCTCTGTGTCCACAAAACCAGACCTCCAACGTGGCGTTGCTGGTATGCAGATTTCAGTGTCCCTAAGAAGCCATCTGGGTTAGCACAGGGGGCTGGGTTTTACAGCTAACCCCGCTGAGCTCAGTGTCTCAGTCTGATTCATAGTCAACAATAAGGTTTAGCAGACTTTTCTCACACCCAGGTGCTTTCACAGAACTGCCACATTTCCCTATCAGACCGCCATTTCACAGAGGAAGAGAAAGTTGGTTGCCTACGGTTGCACCAGGACCAGATTAAAGCCAGCGCTCCTCCCTCTCCATCTTTCCTAACAGTTCCTCACAGTTCATCTGTACAAGACACCATGAGAGATTCCAAATGCAGGAAGTGATTTGATCCACAGCTTTTTAAGGGCAGGAACCCAAAGACATGAGTCTGTCTGCCTTTAAAGATGAGAGCTGCTCATTTGAACTAGATAGAAAATAGTGGATTTAGGATGACAGACTTCAGAGCCCACTCTGTCCTACCACCTCCTACCAGTAAATGTTCTTCCCTGAGAATTGCCTATTATCTGAAAATTGCTCTTTTTAATAACCCCAAGCTGGAAATAATCTCCATGCCTATCAATAATAGCATGAATAAATAAACAGTGGTATGTCCACACAGAGGAATACTGTACAGCAGTGAGAGTGGACATGCCACAGCCTGGAGCAATTTCCCAAACATAACAGTGAGAGAAAGAAACCAGATGCATGCCTGTAATCCCAGCACTTTGGGAGGCTGAAGCAGGTGGATCACCTGAGGCCAGGAGTTCGAGGCCAGGAGTTCGAGACCAGCCAGGCCAACATGGTGAAACCCTGTCTCTATGAAAAATACAAAAATCAGCCGAGTGTGGTGGCATGCGCCTGTAATCCCAGCTTCTTGGGAGGCTCAGACAGGAGAATTGCTTGAACCCAGGAGGCAGAGGTTGCAGTGAGTTGAGATTGCCCCACCGCACTGCAGCCTGAGCAACGGAGCAAGACTCCGTCTCAAAAAAAGAAAGAAAAGAAAAGAGAAAAGAAATGAAACCAGGTACTGTAGTTCATACATCATCATTCCATTCATAGCAAGGACCCAAAGAAGCAGGTGATGCTAATCCAAGCTGTTAGACATCCTTGGTGGGGGTGGGGACTGGAAGGAAGGGGGAAGGGAGCTTCTAGGGAGCCGGTCACCTTCTGTTTCTTGATCTGAGTGCTGGTTACACACATGCATTTAGCATTTGGTATGTGAAAATTCAGCGAGCTATACACTTAGGATACCTATACTTTTCTCTATGTATATTCGACTTCAATAAGTAATTTTTAAAAAGTAAAAAGAGCTGGGAGTGGTGGCTCATGCCTATAATGCCAGCACTTTGGGAGCTGAGGCACAAGAATTGCTTGAACCCAGGATGCAGAGGTTGCAGTGAGCTGAGATTGCACCACTGCACTCCACCTGGGTGACAGAGAGAAACTCTGTCTCAAAAAATAAAATAAAAACTAAAAAGTAGCCAGCCATGCACAACCTCAAAAAAAACTCCCTACAATGATGCTAACAGGAACACTCCATTTGTCAAGGGCGGACTCTGTGCCAGATGCTATGCTGGGGACTCTGTGTGCATTACCCCTTTTCAATTTCTGGGAAGGCACTGTTCTGCTCCTGTCTTGCGGATGAGAAAACTGAGGCTCAGAAACTGTGGTGGCCTGTGTGTCCATTTGCCTCATCCCCTGGCACACGCACACACTCTCCTACCCCAGCTGCGGGAATGGAGGCAATGAAGTAGAGGTGGTCTCATTTTCTTTCCTTATCACCAGGGAAGAGCCAGTAAGTAATTCATTCAGTTGACAGGTAGCCTATAAAGAAGGCCACTGTCAACCAGGCACTGCAGTGTGGTGATGACAAGCTCAGATTTGGGGGTTTGGGGTTGGCTAAGAGCTGGGTTCAAATCGTGACTGTGCATTTGAACTACACAATCCAGAGCAAATATCCTCTCTGGACCTCCATGTTCCCCTCTGTAAAATGGGTGTGGAAGACCTCATAGGGCTGTTGTATGACTTAGACAAGAGATTGCAAAAAAAAGCATAAACTGACACAGACAATATTCAATAAGTGTTAGAGAGGGATGGAAGCCAGGCCCTAAAAAGGTTAAATAAGCAGTGCTAGGCATTATAACATCAGTATTGTGCCCAGTCACTGCTTGGGCTTGAGCAAGGGGCTGGACCAGTGGGCTTCAGCGATCAGTGAGGCTTCTTGACAGAGGATTGAACTAGGTTTAGAAAAGACTTTCCCAAAGGGGAATGGACATTCCAAAGAGATGGCAAAGCTTGGAGAAAGACCTGTGGTTGGCCAGCCTGTCTGGAGCCAAAGGAGAGAATGACTGCCCAGAGCTGTGATTTTTTTGTCTTTTGCAGTGAGGAGCTTAAATGGGACAGTGGTGTATTGGGGAGAGTTATTTGGTAGCAGAAGACGCAATAGATGCTTTGAATTCTGCAAAACCAAACTCCCCTGTGACCAGTGGGGATAAAGCAGAGCCGAAGGGGACAATCAGAAGTGAGCACTGATACATGTTTAACAATCAGTTCTCTGGCAGGAGGGTAGGGGTGCCCTGATTTGTTTGCCAAATACTCCCACCATAGCCCATTTCAAACTGCCATTGCAATGTCACTAGGTACGGAGTTAGGAAGAGATGCACAGTTGCCTCTCATGAGCTGATATGAGCCAGTTCCACATACCACTGGGTTTCAGGAAAAGTTGGGAAAACTTGCCTCATTGGAACATGGGCTCCAATTGCTGTGGCTCCCATGGGAAACTACAGTACAGCCTCTCGAACGAGTTTCTCCAATGTGCTAGGCCCTACCATGAGACCCAAGACAGACTGTGTCCTAACTCTAGTGGGGTCCACAGTCTACTGGGGAAACTGGCATTAATCAAATAATTCCTCTAAGTGACACATTGAGCTGAACACTTGGAAAGAAGAGCTGCCTTACATGCAGAGCACTCCCGTGTTCTTTGTTTCAAAGCTGAAACAAAAGGTACATTGTCGTTATCTGTTCTGAATCAAGAACATAGTGTGTCCTCTAAGTTTTTCAGTACACTTTTGTTCACTTCATGATATTTAAATCAGGGTTGTTGTCATTACAACCCTTTCAAGACCTAGGGCTTGGATTTCAAGTGCCTTTTCAGGTGCCAGTGAAAAATCCATCAGTTTGCAACCAGAAAATCGTTCAGCGGAGCTTATGTATTTATTTATTAGTAACAACAGTCTGGATACTTCTCTGTAGTTCTCTCCAAATGTCAAGCCCAGGCTGGGCTCCATCATGCTCTGCGCACTTCTGTTTAGGAAACGTTTTCAGCTGGCACTGTGGCTCGTGCCTGTAATCCCAAAACTTTGGGAGGCCGAGGTGGGTGGATCACCTGAGGTCAGGAGTTCGAGACCAGCCTAGCCAACATGGTGAAACCCTGTCTCTACTAAAAATACAAAACATTAGCCAGGCACCTGTAATCCCAGCTACTTGGGAGGCTAAGGCAGGAGAATCGCTTGAACCCAGGAGGTAGAGGTTGCAGTGAGCCGAGATTGTGCCATTGCACTCCAGCCTGGGTGACAGAACAAGACTCTGTCTCAAAAAAAAAATAAAAAAGGAAATGTTTTCACTGTTGCGTTGCCTCCTAGGTGGTCTTCGAGGCCCTGCACAATCTGGAGCCCCGTGGCTACGTCGTGGGGTGGATCATCGCCATCAGTTTGTTGGTGGGAATCCTCATCTTCCTGCTGCTGGCCGTGCTGCTCTGGAAGGTGAGTCTGGTGATTGCAGGTCCCCCTGGGGTCCCCACTCATAGATGCCCAGCTCTCCTGCCTTTCCAGGGAAGAAGGAGTATCCTGTTAGAGCTTCCTTCATGGCACCGGTACAGTGAAGGACAGTGACCCTTCAGGCAGGGAGTGGAATCTTGGCTCCCCTTGAGGCCATTCACAACTGAGGATTTGGACCACTTCAGAGTGAAGGCAAAAGTCTCAGTTCTCTCTTCTCTTACCTTCCCTTAGAGCCCTAACATAGGATGGTGAGAACCTAACTCCAAAACAGAAGTCTGGGGAGCAACTGCCAGAAGGGGGCGATTTCCCATTTGCTTAAAAAAGATCAGAAGGCGAACTATAGAACAATTCTTCCTTCTTTTCCTCTAAGGAATGTGAGGAAGATTTCTGACCAGAAAACTTGAGTAACTGAGATGGGCTACAGTCCAGAGTAGCTTCATCATAACTTCTCCCAACCTCATGGTGGTTCATTTGGAGGTGGCCCAGGGTGCAGACCTGTCCTGCCTCAAGCATCACTCTCTCAAGGAGAAAGGGGTGTCCTCATCCCCATGTCTAGGATGATTTGTTTGCCTCACACTCTCCTTTCAGAGACCCGGAGTCCTTTTCCTTCAGAGCCTCTCTATTCATCAGTAATGGTATTGGAGGCTTTAGCTGATGAAGGTCTGTCTCTTCCTTGTTTCCACTGTGTCCCCAGCTCCAAAACAGCACCAGGGACCATAACTGCAACTTCCTGACACCAAAGTCCATACTTCTCTAGAATTACAAATTTCAGATGTAGGTGAAAACAGCCTCTTAGAGTATTATAGATGGATATTTTAAAATAAGACAACTAATTTCTTTGGGATTACAAAATAATATGTATGTATTGACCTAACATAACATATCAATTACCAAAAAAAGTTGTAAAACACCAGGAGTTCACATCCCAGAAATAACCATGATGAGCATAGTATTGCCTCATTTTGACCTTTTTCTCTGCATATATAGATATAGACCAGGCATTCTCATAACATCAACTTATTTTTGAATAGTGTATTAGTTAAATTTTACAGTAATATACTCAGCATATTTTCAGGTGAAGTACCTCTAAATTTAAAAGCAGTGGGTTCCTTTTTTTTTTTAAGTATGGGGTCTTGTTCTGTCACCCAGGCTGGAAGGCAGTGGCACAATCATAGCTCTAACTCCTGGGCTCAAGCTGTTTTCCTGCCTCAGCCTCCCAAGTAGCTGGGACTACAGGCATGCACAATGCCTGGCTCATTTTTTTATTTTTTTGTAAACATAGGGTCTCACTATGTTTCTCATACTGGTCCTGAACTCCTGGCCTCCAGCTATCCTCCCACCTCAGCCTCCCAAAGTGCTGGGATTATAGGTGTGAACCAACGCACCTGGCCTGGATTTGATTTATTAATCTGGGAAAAACGTATACCTATTTTTCCCTGAAGACAGTACTGTGAACATCTTTCCATATTGTTCAAAGCACGTTTCCAGCACATCTTAAAGCTGTAGAGTGTCTGCAGTCTACTCATCCAGTCCCCTGATACTGGAATTTAGGTTGCTTCTGTTTCACACTTCTTTTAACAGTGCCACATTAAATATCCCTGGAGCCAAATATTTGCACAAATCTTTCATTATGTCGTTAGGTTGAAAGCCTAGAAATAGAATTGCCATCAAAAGGAGTGTATATTTTAAGCTTTTTAAAAATTATATTTATTTTTTTATTTTGAGATGGAGTTTTGCTCTTGTCTCCCAGGCTGGAGTACAGTGGAGTGATCTCAGCTCACTGCAACCTCCCCCTCCCGGGTTCAAGCAAGTCTCCTGCCTCAGCCTCCTGAATAGTTGGGATTACAGGCGTCTGTCACCACAACCAGCTATTTTTTTTTTTTTTTTGTATTTTTAGTAGAGACCAGGTTTTGCCATGTTGGCCAGGGTGGTCTTGAACTCTTGACCTCAGGTGATCCTCCCGCCTTAGCCTCCCAAAGTGCTGGGATTACAGGTGTGAGCCACCCCGCCCGGCCTAAGCCTTTTATTACTATTGCAGATTGCCCTGTAGAAAGGTCATACCAATTCACCCTCCCACAAGCAGTGTATCAGAAATGTCTGTTTGCCAATAGTGGATGTTACCTTTTAAAAACAATCTGCCAATTTGTTGTTTATTTAATCCACATCGCCAGATAGATTCTTAATTCTCCTTTTTCTCCAACTCCAACTCCTTCCTGCTGAGACAGCCTCTGGTTTGTGGGTGGAGAACAAAGCCTGCTCAGTGTTTGGCATCTGAAAAGACAAGGCTTCTTGCTGAGTTGAGGGCTTTGGTGCATGAGTGTGTGTGGGTGTGTGTGTGTGTGCGTGCGCGTGTGTGTGTGTGTATGTGACTTCCTTCTGCCTTTATATGGGCTCTTAAAATGAGAGGAGCTGTGTCCTTTATGGCTGGGTGTGTGGAACCAGACAGGGCACAGAGTGGGGAGTGTTGTGGCCGTGCCCCACTTCCCCTTATAGTCTGCATGCCCTCCTTCTGGCCGCCCCACCTGGCTCTGCCTCTCAGGGGTGTCCTGTCTCCTCTGCACAGCCCCTGCCTCCTCCAGCCCACCACCTGCTTTGCCTTGCTTTTGCTGTGTTTGTTTAAAAAAGCATGGTTGCAGGAGATGCTGTCATGGGTGGGGAGAACCCTGAGGTCACCCAGCTGTGTGGGATCCAAAGAGCCAGGACCTGAGAAGGCAGACTCTGCCCTCTGCCACAGACTGGGAGGGAGAGGGCAGTCACGGCCGCCAGGGACACACCGTGTGCCCAGACCAGGGCTTGCCGTAACTAACGGGTGGCAGGAAAGCTTTGAGGAGGCTGTTGAATGAGGCCACCTGGGTCACAACAGCTTTGCTAGTCAACCCAGAGCAGTATCTCATTTCGGCTCACATTTCTCGAACGCTTACTTTGCCCCAGTCCTTGCTTTGCCTGGACTAGGCACTGGGATGCAGCAATAACTGTGCCCTTCCCTGCACTTGACCGCCTCACCACCTAGCAATAGACCTGCAGGCATAATGGAGGGTGGTGAGTGCTGCGCAGTAACTGCTCTGGAAACTGAGAAGAAGGTGCCATGAGTCCCCCTCCCTTGCCCCCAAGGAGGAGGGAGGATTAAAAGGTCACAGAGAACAGTGTGGTAGATGAGAGCAGCTTTCAGGCTGACAGCTGTGGGCAGCAATCCTGACTCTCACACTTGCCTGACATGAGGCCTTAAGGGGGCTGCTTACCTTCTGTGACCCTCAGTTTCTTCCTCTGTAAAAAGGAGACCATCACCTCCAGTTTGGTATGTAGAGGTTATGCAAGGAAAATGTTTAGCACTGCGCTTAGCACACAGAAGCCAGGGGATATTTCATAAATGAGGTGTCATTCGAGTCTGACCTTTAGTGTGGTTTGAGTTTTCCAGGCAGGGAAGGGTAGATGAAGATTCCATCCAGAGGGAAGGAAGAGGTGGGAAAATAAGCAGGGTTTGTGGAGAGCAGCTTGTAAAGTTTGTCAGGGCAGTCACTGACCTGCAGCAAGACCGTCTGCCACAGTTGTGAAGGCCACTGCTAACCAGGACAAAGGGGGAGCATGGGAGGTCTGTGAGCAGAGCGGTGGCATGACCAGATCTGTGTCGAGAGAGAGATCTGGGGCTGGGTGCAGTGGCTCATGCCTGTAATCCCAGTGCTTTGGGAGGCCAAGGCCAGAGGTTTACTTGAGCCTAAGAATTTGAAGTTGCAGTGAGCTATGATCATACCACTGCACCAGGTGGTAGAGCAAGACCCTGTCTCTAAAAGGAAAGAGAGATCTAGGGACAGTGTGGGGGCAAGAGTAGGGCCATTGCCATGGGTCAAGGTAGGACAGGCAGGGTTTGCTGACCAGTTGGACTTGAGAGGTCAGGGAGAAAAAAAGAATAGCTGTCTCTCCTTAAGATAAGTTCAGACAAAGGATGGGTGCCCTTAATCAGGGTGGGGAAGGCAAGATGCGAATTAGTTTGGCAAGAGGAGGAGCTTGGTGTTGGGCTTTCTGAGTGAGTGGTGCTTAGAGGAGGCTAGGAGACAAGGCTGGGCTTGCCTCACTCCCTGTCGCCCCCACCCAGCAGAAGGAAGGTCAACAGAAGGAAGCCCCTTCTCTCTACTTGGCTACACATCCGCATCATTCTCTTCCCACCGCAGACCAGCTTTCTCTATGTTTCCCTACACATCGTAGGGAGATAGTTGCCTCCAGCCCCTCCAAACTTGCATCTCAAGGACTACTAGCCACAGACGCAGAATGATCAGCCACCTCTGATTCCTGGTCCCACATATCTGGGAGAGAGGATCTGCCTGGCCCAGCTCTAGTCAAATGTCTACTCCCATCAACTGTGGAAGGGAGGAAGGGAGTTGGGAGGGAGAGAATCCACCTGGCCCAATGTGGGTCATATGTCTCCCACGGAGGCTAGTGGGGGAGAAAGATGCAGGATGGTGGTTTAGGGGATACTGGGGAGGAGACTCTCAGAAAAGAAAACAATTAGGCAGGCACCCCAAAGGAGTTCGCTCCTGCAGGATTTCATCGTTGTTAGTGCTGCTGCTGCCTGAATTGCAGGCTGTTGTATCATACCAGCTAGCTATGCTGCATACAAACTGCCCCCAAATTGAATGGCTTTTCACAACCATTACATCTGACAAATTTCTGGGTCAGGGATCCAGGAAGGGTTTGGCGGGGTGATTCTTCCGTCCCACATGACATTGAGTGAGGTCACTTAGTGGCATTTACCTGGTGGCTAAGCTGGTCTTCAGAGTTCAAGACAGCTTCATTCTCATGCCTGGCACCTTGGTAGGGACAGCTGGAAGGCTGGATTCAGTCAAGTCCTTCTTCCTCTCCATGTTGACTCAGGGCCTCTCCATGTGGTTCTTCCAGCAGATGGTCTGACTTTTTATGTGGTGGCTTAGGCTGAAAGAGAGCGCTGCCAGTTGTCTTAAATGCTAGCCCACAGCTGGCATAGCATCATTTATTCTGTTGGTAAAAGCAGTCATATGCCAGCTCAGGTTCAAGAGAGGGGAAATAGACCCTGCTTCTCAATGAGAGGAGTGGCAAAGCCTTAGTGGCTGTCTTTTATCTGTCACATACATGATGTTCGAAATATGGGCAAAATCTTTTCTTTTTTTTTTTTTTTTTGTGGCAGTCCCACTCTGTCACTCAGGCTGGAGTGCAGTAGCATGATCTTGACTCACTGCAACCTCCACCTCTTGGGTTCAAGAGATTCTCCTACCTCAGTCTCCTGAGTAGCTGGGATTACAGGTGCCTGCCACCAAGCCTGGCTAAGTTTTGTATTTTTTGTAGAGACGGGGTTTCACCATGTTGGCCAGGCTGGTCTCGAACTCCAGGCCTCAAGCGATCTGCCTGCCTTGGCCTCCCAAAGTGCTGGGATTACAGGTGTGAGCCACCGTGTCTTTTCCCTAAAAGTCACTATTACAAACAAAAATTCGCCTAACTAGAAGTTTTGTTCTATTTTAAAGTAGATGAAACCTCATCTCTCTCCCATAGTGTCATAGATAAAATCACAGTTGAACTCCTTTGGGGAAGAGGAGGCAAACAGAAAATGTTGGTGCAGCATTTATGTCAGAGTGTGCAGTCTGTTGAGGCAGTGTTGTAATGTGATAAGGGGCTTGGTGGAGGGGATTTCTTTAGGGAAAAAAATTTTTTTTTCTCAAAAGGCTAACTATGACTTTTGAGACTTATAAAGTCTCAAAAGACTTTATAAGAGGTTAAAAGGGCAATTGAAATGTAGGATTATTTTAAAGACCTACGTATTTCTAGAACTTCAACTACAGACCTCTTGTTAACTCTGATTCCCATGTCTACAACCTAAGAATGATACATTATGTTTAGTGAATAGTGATTCGGTATCACACTGACAGTACGGTGCAGTAACCCAAAGACCTGTTAATTGATGGTCTAAACTCCAGCCTCATATTTGACTTATACGGGAGGTCTTAATGTTTCCGGCTTATTGCCATATTCCATATGTAATTTCCTCCATTCCTTTCAAGGGGAAAGCCACTGAGTGTTACCCAGCTGCCACTGCTGACCGGTTGCCCACTTCACTGAGGGCCTTTGAAGACAGCGGTTGGCGGGGACAGTGTTGAAGTCCTCTTCCCTTTACAGAACCGTGGCTCTTGAATGTCCTTCTAGAGTAGCTCTTGGCATTGCTACCTATGGTCATTTGCTGCTGCCTTGAGGTCCGGAGCCAAAAGTGGTTGTTCCCAAAAGTGTTGCATAAACGTGAATCGTGACATGGTACTGAAAGCTGAGCAGAGCAGCTGGCCATGCCGCCGCATTCACAGCACCACACAAGCCTGAAGGTCTGCATGCTTTATGCTTGCAAGATGGCCAGCACCTTCACTAGGCAAAGAGTAGTAGGTCCCTACTAGGTGGCAGGCCCTGGGCAAAGGGACAAAGATAAATAAACAACAGCCCTCACCTAGTCTGTTTCTTTTTTTTTTTTGACAGAGTCTCACTCTGTCACCCAGGCTGGAGTGCAGTGGTGCAGTCTTGGCTCACTGCAACCTCCGCCTCCCGGGTTCAAGCAATTCTCCTGCCTCAGCCTCCTGTGTAGCTAGGATTATAGGTGTGCGCCACCATGCCTGGCTAATTTTTGTATTTTTAGTAGAGACAGGGTTTCACCATATTGGCCAGGCTAGTCTTGAGCTCCTGGCCTCAAGTGATCCACCCACCTTGGCCTCCCAAACTACTAGGATTACAGGTGTGAGCCACCATGCCTGGCCTCAACAACAGAGCCCTCACCTAGTCTTGAAGACCTTTAGGAAAATCAGCTTCAGCAAAGCCCTGAAGGTGAGCAGGACTTGGCCTGTGCCACCAGCCCCTGGCCCCACCTACGCATGCACTGTGGTGCTACTGTTTACCTAAATCAGAAAGCCCTTATCGTGTCAGCAAGTGTCTTTTCCAGAGCTGAGCTCCAGGCTCCCTGCTGATGTGCTCAGCCAGACCAGCCCCTCATCTGCCTCTGACCCTGTGCAGCTCCTGGCGGCCTTCAAGAAAGCCCATCTGCTGGCATCTCAGGCATCTTCTCATGCTTGGCGGCAGCAGGCCCTGGCTCTGACACAAAATCCACAATGAGGGCCCCAAGCTAACCAGACCGCTCTTCAAATTCTGAAATGGATCCTAATCAGCTTTCCCAAAGCTGAGATGTTAGCAGACACTGGGAGCCATAATTTAAACTTTATGTGCGAGGATTACAGTAGCCAGCCAAACCACCATGCAGGAAGAAAACTTTGAAATATGAAATGCTTTTAAAGGAAGAAAAGTCCAAATGAGTCCCCTCTCCTTTCCTGCAGCTCCTGACTGGGTTGGAAGATGCCTGGGCCTGGCATCTCTTCAAGACAATCATAAAGGCCTGTTTAGGAGGAGAAAGTTAAATTGCTCAGAGGTGCAGGAGGGATAACAACTTTGTGTGTGACTGGCACCTTTAAGAAATACCTTCAGCTTATATAAGCCAGCCTGGTTTCTGTGGAAAGAATGAAGATGATGGGGTGTTTCTCCTTTTGAAGAAAGACACCCCCCTTCCCTTATTTAGGGCTCCAAGCTCTTCCCTCCCTGTCTTTCTCTCTGCTTCCCTCTCACCCTCCTCCCCTCCCCAGCTCTGTCCTTGTTTGTTTGCAGTTTGCCAAAACATACAGGCCACCACTCAGTGAAGGAGAGAGACCATATCCTCCCTCACTGCTGTCAACCAAGGACCCTCTCTCTCCCATTTGACCCTTTTGCAAACCGAGATGGTTTGGAGCAAAGGGAAGTGAGACTGCTTGGCCAGCCCTATGGCCATGTCTTCCCAGGAGGCCCAGGACCTACTTGCTCAAGTGGCAAAGAGACAGGCTGCAGAATGTGTTTGCCAGCCCTCTGAAAAGGGCTGCCTCAAACCCTCTATCAGCTGGGGCTGTTCCAAGAGCCTGCTGCTTTAGGACTGGCTTTGGGCTCATGGTTTTTATTTGAGAGCATTACTTCTGACCTAAGGCAGAAACACTTAGAAAACAAATCTGTGAAATGGCTCAGAGAATGTGTAAGGTTTGGCAACCCCTCCAGAGGTCACTGGGTTATCACCTTCCCTTCAAACTGGGCTGGGAGGGCATCCTTGCTTCTCCTCCAAAGAAAAAAAATGAACAGACACATGCCCATGTGCTTGCACACACACCCTTCACACTGCCTCAATTAGAACCATGTGCCAATGACATTCAGTGGGGGCTTGTTTATGCTTGGGAGTAAATATTGGGCTGATGTTGCACTGTCGACATCTCGAGACAGAGACATGCTATGTAAATAGTCAAGTAACTGAAGAGAACTATAAACATGAAGTCTTGAGTTAGTCCAAAAAAGGAATTTGTCCCAGGTCCTCAGAATCACTGTCTAGGAAGCAACCCAAAGGCCGCGGAGTGGGTAGGATCCCCCAAGAGACCAGATGTCATGGTGTTGTCCAGCTGGTCCCTCTCACCCTGCAGGGGGCTGGGGAGGAAGAGGCTGCTGCTGCAGGGTGGATACCCCAGAACTCAGTCAGGCCTCATGCCTCACGCAGCACCCATCTAAGTAAGGCTGTTTGGGGCAATCTGTTGTTTCCCTAGGAGTTTTCTGGTTGCTTTTGGATACATGGTTATATGAGAAAATTGTGTATGTCTGTTACGAGGGTTCAGGGAGCTGCTCTTTGGAGCTGCAGGACCAGCAGACACAAAAACCAGAAAGCACACTGTTCCTTCGGCTTCCAGCCAAGCAAAGCTTGGCTTGAGTCACCTCCTCTAGGGTTTCTATGTTTCTTCTGCTACAGATAGAACAGTTAACAGAGCCGCTTGCCCCTCAAATGGTGAAGCAAGCACTGGAAGGTTCCAGAAAAAATGCAGAAAAACATTGACTCCATTGGCTTGGAAGTGAGTGTGGGGCTGCTGGGCATCCAGCTTAGCCCATCATTAATCATTTCCCAGCACCTTCAGGGTGGGCTCAGCTGGCAACAAAAACAGAGATTTGCCCAGTGTTTCTCAAAGCTCTCCCCAAGGCACCCATGCGTGCTCACATGAGCGGGTGTGTATGTCTGAAGGAGGCCTACTTAACCTTGGGATGTGCTAATTTCCCAAGTGTAGGGGGACTTTGGGTCCTGGCAGTAATGGAATAGGTAGGACTGGCTATGAAGTACTATAGCAGGCTGAAGGGGCTCGTGGGTTTCCTGGCATGTGTATGAAGAGTTACAGATTTAGACCATGTATCTCTTAAGCAAAGGAACTACAGGTGCTCCTTGACTTATCATATTTTAAGTCAGAAATGCATTTAATACCCCAATAAACCCATCATAAAGTCAAAAAACTGTTAAGTCGAGGTATGGTAACTTGGGGATTATTTGTACTTGTTAGATCATCAAATTCAGAGTCACTATCTTTAGTTTAGTGTTTATCTTTAGTCTTTAGTTTTTATATTTTATCTTTAGCCATTATCTTTAGTTGAAGTCATTATCTTTACTTAAGGGGATGACAAAAACCTTGCTAAATTTAGTTTTTCACTTCCTCATTCCTGATTGACATTCTATTAGAAAATGTTAGCTAGGAAGACCTGTTCTTTATTTATTGACTTGCATTTATTGAGAACTGTTGGGAATAATATTGTGCCTCTAGGGCATTTAGAAGATAACATGCTTTTTTCTGGTTCTTGCAAATTACTTTCGGTGACTTGTTCTCATGGGTTGCTTATTTTGAGTTTTTATTTTTAGAGAACTGATATTTTTTCTGTTCTTGATGAGGTAATCAGGCAGTCTCTATGTTACATGAGTTAAGAGTCCTAGACTTACTTAGCAAGTCCTCAATTCTGACACTTATTATAAGACATCTGATCCAGAGCTGCATGTTCAACTCCATCAAGCCTTGCCTACTTTCCTCATCGGTAAAATTGACCTTAAAATCCCACAGTTCAAAAGACTATAAAAGTTAAATAAGTGAACATAACTGCATGTGTTTTGTGAATTCAAAGACCTCATAATCTTTTAAAATATTATTAAATTCTGTTTTATTTGTTTCTTTCAAAAATTAACAGATTTTTAAAAATTGAAAATTGAATTTTCAAAAAATTTCTCAAAAATCTTTGAGAAAAATTGAGATGGGACAAAGACTCTGTGCCTTGTTCCCCCTTAGTGTGAGTCCTGAGTACCCAGCTGTGTGGCCCACAGTCTAGAGCCTTGAATTCACTTTGGGGAAAACAGAAAAAGCTGTCATGATGTTTCAGGGCTGGAAGAGGTCTGAGAATCCCATTGATCTCTTAGGCAGAGACGAAGACACTATGGCTCGAAGCCAGAAAATAACCTTCCCAGGCTGGGCGCGGTGGCTCACACCTGTAATCCCAGCACTTTGGGAGGCCAAGGCAGGCGGATCATCTGAGGTCAGGAGTTCAAGATCAGCCTGGCCAACATGGTGAAACCCCATCTCTACCAAAATATAAAAATTAGCCAGGCCTGGTGGTGCAGACCTGTAATTCCAGCTACTTGGGAGGCTGAGGCAGGAGAATCGCTTGAACCCGAGAGGTGGAGGTTGCAGTGAGCCAAGATCGTGCCACTGCACTCCAGCCTGGCAACAGAGCGAGACTCCATCCCCCACCCCCCCAAAAAAGAAACAATATTAGTTTGACAGAGCCACCACTAGACTATAGGGTACCTTTGTGCAAACTATAATAGTAAATAGCACCGCTTCCTAAAGACTCTTTACTTCCATCTGTCAGAAAAAATTCAGAAAACTCTGATTTTATGAGAACAAGACACTCTACTGCCATCTGTTGGAAAACAGTTATAATAAACTTATACACATACATGATATCTGTGATGTGAGTGGTATCCCCCAGCCCCTTAAATGCAGTGTAGCACCTGCACTACTGTACCTACAACTCCCTAGCCATGAGAGTGCATTATGTTTTAAGAAATGGTCTTCAGACTCTAAAAAAAGGAAGACATACATCAGTGGTAGCTCTGATCTCCCATCCAAGAGATTACGCATAGGCTGTGTTAGGAACAGGACTGGAGACCCTGCAGTGTTAGAGTGGGGCATAGAGCTTGCAAGGCTGTTTCAGCCAGGGGTGGGTGGGGGTGATTTTCAGGCCTAATGCTGACACCACTCCACTGAGAGAAAGAAGCTTGCTTCCGGGTGCCTGCAAGAGATGACAGTGCCTTCACCTTGTTGTTAGCAAGAATTGCATACATAAAAACTTGAGCACATGAAAGCCACATGTAAGAGTGAGTTCAGGTGCTCTAAATCCTTTCCAGATTGTTAACACACTGTCTATGTCAAATCCTTACACTAGCATAGTGATGAGAAAGTGAGCCAGCTTTTGCTCTTAGAGATGAACAAGAGAAGTCTGGTTCAGGCCGGGCGCGGTGGCTCACGCCTGTAATCCCAGCGCTTTGGGAAGCCAAGGCAGGCGGATCACTTGATGTCAGGAGTTTGAGACCAGCCTGGCCAACAAGATGAAACCCCGTCTCTACTAAAAATATGAAAATTAGCTGGGCAGGGTGGTACACGCCTGCAGTCCCAGCTACTCGAGAGGCTGAGGCAGGAGAATCACTTGAACCTGGGAGGCAGAGGTTGCAGTGAGCCGAGATGGCGCCATTGCACTCCAGCCTGGGTGACAGAGTGAGACTCTGTCTCAAAAAAAAAAAAAAAAGTGAAAAGTCCAGTTCAGCAAGGCACACTAACTGATGCTGTTTAAATCTAGAGCCCTATCAGCTGTCTGTCTGATTCATTAAGTCAGCAAAAAAAATATTGAGTCTGTACCAGTTAACTTATGCTACTTGACAAACCACCCCAGTATTCAGCGGCTTAAAAGCAATATCCATCTATGCAGGTCACAGTTCTGTGGGTTGGCTATTTGGACTGAGCTCAGTGGGGCAGTTTGAGCTCAGCGAGACTTACATGTGCCTCTGCGGGCAGCTGGGAGTTGGCTAGTCTGGGAGGGCTTCAAAAAAAACTGGTCTCTTAGCAGGTTAGACATAGGCATTTGTGTGGAAGCAGGGCAGGGTTCTGAGAAAGTAATTGGAAGTGTGCACAGCCCCTTGGGGACTGTGTAACAGACACAACATCTCCTCCCTCTCATCCAATTGTCAAAGCTAGTCTCAGTGGAGAATCAAGGCTGGGAAAATAGACTCCACCTCACGATGGGAAGAGCTGGAGAGTCACATGGTAAAGGGTGTGGAGGGTATGTGGGCATCTTTGCAATTTATCGCTGGTACCAAGGACAGGTGAGATGCTGAGTACTGGGGATTGAAAGCACAAAGCCTGCCTTCAAAGAGTCCTAAGACAAATGCAGGAGATAATAAGGGGGCAGACTGTTAAGTTTCTGCTTGATAGTGCCATGGTAGGGAAATGTGACTTCTCTGGAATTACAACTGAGTGACCTGGGATTATTGACACATTACAACATCAGCAGCCAAAGGTATGTGCTAGAGAATCCTATTTCCCTGTTACATCCTTCCACAGTTTCATGATTACATTCTCCTTCATGGCATGTGACCAGCCACATCTGGCCATGTTTTCTTAGCCAACCACATCTTTATCGCAAAAGAATGACATTTCAAGCAGTAGCTTCTTAGATTTCCATTCAGTCTTGGTCCGTTTTTCTGGCCTTCTGTGGGTGTGCTGTGGGGATGATGTCTATGACTTTTTCTTAATTATCCAGAAAATTCTGGCCAAGCACCTTTTCTTGCAGAGGGGAGAAGGTGAAGAGGTTTCAGGAGAGAAAAGTATATGTGTGGGGGCGTCAGAACATGGCATTCTGATGAATGTGGTCTTATGCTGGGAAGAAACCTCCAGGGCTGAAATCACCAGGAACTCAATATCTGTTTACAAAACTGGCCTTGAGGATTGAAGCTCAGAACACAAGACTCTTGCCAGTTGTTCTAAGAAAGCTTCTGCTCTTTCCCAGTCATTCAAACTGCACCACCTTATCGACTTCCCCTCACGGTGAATGCTCAGGATCTCCTTGGCAACGTGGGTGAAGATACCTGCTGGCTCTCTTGACAGTTCTCGTCTTTGGCTTGGCCAATAAACCCCCTTTAGGGAAGTAGAAAGATGGTGGCAACAGACAGCTCCTCAGCTCCACCTGCCTTCCCTTCTTCAGGGGAGCTTATGACCATCAGGGTGGCTGTGATGCTTCCCTGGATGTTTGGCTCACAGTGAAGAAGCATGAGGACAAATACACAGACAACAAAAACATTTGATGTGCCCATGACAGCTGGGTTTGCTTCACGATTTGTGTAGGACACGTCTTATATGTGCATGCACTGTTGGCAGCAGACTGCAGAGAGTCTTAAGGGTTTTCCAGTATGACTTGGGAATTGCAAGCTGATGATACCATGGTACCACAACCTGCAGTGTGGCAAGCCTACCAGCACCAGGTCAAGTGTGTGTCTCTGTTTGATTTCCTCTATTCAAGGGGATTGAAACAATGATTTGAGGGCAAGTCATTTATTTGGAAGGTGATCTCAGGAAAAACTGTTGGAGAGCAGGGAAGGAAGCCAATAAAAGATTTGTCATCAAGCTGGTTACCTCTGCAGGCAAGCTCCATGGGGAAACTGGTAGAACGTACACCTCAGGGTTATCCCACCCAAGGAGAGAGGGAGCTGGGGTATTTGTACACCCGATACAGTCAGCCTTGTTTAAAGGAAGATGCAGAGAGGAATGTCTGACCTCATAAACAGAGCCCACCAATGTTAGTGAGCCAAGGACGAGAGATGCCGAGTCTCTCAGAGCATGGGAGGAAAGGTAAGCTTTGGGCTACAAACGTTGCTTCACTGTTTGGTGGTGATGACTATGTGAGAAAAACTAGACACTTGTCTTACCATATGTGAAAAGTTGTAAGACCAAATGTAACATCAAAGGGCAGGGTCTTTTCAGAACTAAGCTAGAGGAAATTGCCATCCTGGGTCAGGATGAAACGCCCGTTCTAAGTGAGAATGTGCTGCTGACTGTGGTGCACAGACAGCACAAATTCCATGGGTTTGAGAGAAAGATGTAAATGACAGCAAGGTAGAATGCAGACCTGCAGACGCTTTAAACAGCCTCTCACGTGAGAGCAGTATTTATTAAATTATTCCACAGATGGCTAAGATCTCTCAAGATACTAGGTTTATCAAAAGCCAAATAAGCTTGGGGAATGTCAGGTCCCTGGTTTTTTTCCCCACCGGAATTAATGGTAATGGATCCTTTACTTTCCACTGTACATTAAGACTCTCTAAAAAAAAAAAAAAAAAAAAAAAAAAGCCACACTTCCCAAACTTATTTGACCATGAAACCTTTTTTTTTTTTTTTTTTTTTTTTTTGAGATGGAGTCTCACTCTGTCGCCCAGGCTGGAGTGCAGTGGTGGCACGATCTCGGCTCACTGCAACCTCCGCCTCCCAGGTTCAAGCGATTCTCGTGCCCCAGCCTCCCAAGTAGCTGGGATTACAGGCACACACCACCATGCCCAGCTAATTTTTGTATTTTTAGTAGAGACAGGGTTTCACCATGTTGGCCAGGCTGCTCTCAAACTCCTGACCTCAAGTGATCTGCCTGTCTCAGCCTCCCAAAGTGCTGGGATTACAGGCGTGAGCCACTGCGCCCAGCCATGAAACCTTTTTTTACTCCCAAACACCTTTGAACAGCTCTCAGTAACTGGTATTCCCCAGCACACAGTCTGGAAAACACTACACCAGATGCATTTTAGAAGGAACAAACAGCTTACGTAATATCACCCGCAGGAAGTCCATGCATTTTGAAAAATGTCTCCACAGGATGTTTTTCTTGCCAGTGTTTTCTCTAATCCGAGGGGTCCTCCAAGCCTCCCCAGCCCTGTGAGTGCAGGTCACACCTACCCAGGGACAGACTGCCTTGGGGTCACAATGGCTGATTCTTCAGCACTTCTAACTCAGCTTCTCTTTCTTTCTGCCTTTCAGATGGGCTTCTTTCGCCGAAGGTACAAAGAAATTATCGAAGCTGAGAAGAACCGGAAAGAGAATGAAGACAGTTGGGACTGGGTCCAGAAAAACCAGTGAGCTGCCACACCAGTCACATGACCTGATCACTAGCCTGTCATCCTTGGTCTTTGTATCTTCCATATTTGGAAGAAAAAAATCTTCTCCAGATTTTTCGGAGGCCCCACTGATGCTGTTCTCTTCTTCATTCTATCAAGCCCAGGTGCCAGCCTGAGGCAGCCACTTCGGCCAGGTCACACGACCGGGGCCAGCACCACTTCCTTTAAAGATGAACTCTGAACTTTGGAGAGTGAGCTACAGAGCCGAGCAATATTTATGGATGCAACACGCATGGTCAACCCTCAGGGGAAAACTGTTACCTAAAGTATTTTTATAAATATAAGCCTTTTATACTGATTATGTCTTTTATATTTGTATCGATGTTTTATTATTTCTATTAAATAGTTATATAATTCACTCAAGCACTGATATCTGGCCTAAAATCTTGGAAGTACATGTCCATGAATACAAATTTTAAAGGATGAAAATCTTACCGTACTTTGGAACTTGCTGTTTAAAAAGACAGATGAAATAAGTTGAAGAAACCTCATGTAATGAATCCACCAGGCTGGCAGTGGTGCATATAAACTGTGGGTGTGGCAAGACCCCGAAGACATTTCACATCTTTATCGCCTCGATCAAGTGTGGAGTCACATGCTAATGTGTGCTAAAGAACTGTAAGTGTTTTTTCATATGTACTTTTCATTGGAAGATTCCCAACAAGAATTTGGATGGAAAACCTGATCCCTAGCAAGAAGTCTGCTCTGTATCACCTTTATATAGCAGACATGTCACCCTGCTTCTACACAGATGATGGATGAAAGCTTGGAGCAATGCCATGTGGTCATCTGGTAAACCTCAGAATGGCGTCTCATCCTGGACATCCTGCATCAGAGTTCACACACCACAAGGACTAAATCCTTGTCCCCTAAGCAAAGAATTGGGTCTGAATGCTGTGAGGGATTGCCTTTTTGTGGTAATTTTCATTGAGAGATCTTCATTTCCCCTACCACCCTGGCTGTCCCAGCTAGTGGTGATTGCAGATTCCTTCCCAGAGAGGACATTTAACCGTTTTAAAAAAAATGTCTTAGATTGGGTTCCCAAGAAGCAGTCCCTGAAACAAGGATTTGTGTGCAAGTAACTTATTAAGGAAGTATTCCCAGGGGATACCAGTAAGAGAGTGGGGGAAGCAGGACAAGGAAGGAGACAAAGCCAGGCAAATGTTTGTCATTTCAGGGAGAGCTCCATGAAGTTTAGCCTCAGCCTGATCAGGGGAACTCCGGAGGAAAAGTTAGGCCTCAGAGGTGTCCCAACCTGAATCAAGGGGCTGGCTGCACCCAGAGGAGATGTAAACGTTTTATTCTCAATTCCTGCTGGCGTAATGGCTCCAGTAGCTCAGGACAGTCCTCTAAAGGACAACCACAGATGCATCCTCAGCCAGGGGAGACACAGGGAAATGATGCAAAAGAAATGATGCAAAGGATCTGAGCAGAACACTGCCCCTCCCCACCCCCTGAATGTGTGAGTGCTGAGTTACGGCCTTCAGTATCCAAGCTCTCTGTTTGACAGTAGATATATTGTCAGATGCACTGTGCTGCTTAGTTTTGAGTGCAGTGTGATTTTCTGAAAGGGCAATGAGATGATGGATGTAGCATGCTCAGCACTGACCTGGCCCATAGTGATCACTCAATAACTGTTAACAGCTATGGCTGCTATTCCTACTGATGGATAACCATCTAATAAGACAGAAAACATGGGGCTAAGAGCAGGGTCTAACGGAGTCTTAATGGCTTATTACAGCCTGCCAAAGTGCCAGCTACATACACATGGCATCCAGTGCGGATGAAACAATCTATAAAACCAAGGGTCTTTCTTATAGCACCTTTTTTACTGGAAGCTAACACGTTGGGAGTCCGTGAACATTGTCAAAAAGACATCAAACTCAACTTCTGGGAAGACAGATTTTTAATACACATACTTGGCTAATACTCACAAACATATCTAAAGTTTTGGCAAAATTATGAGGGTGATGGGTGGGTACTAACCTGGCATGGAGCAGGTGTGTCTTTTGGTTTCTTATGCAGTTGACTCTGCTGCAGGGAGATTACAGATGTAACCTCATGCTTCTCTTCCTGGTGAACATGGGAATAGACCAAAAAAATCAAGGGTCAATGGCATGAACTAAGCTGATCCTGGAAATCAGGGATGTTGCATCTAACTGTGGGATGGAGGCACAGAGGTAGCTACAGGGAGCAGGACGAGGCAAAGAAAGCAGCTGTCACTCAGAGTTCGCTTATGAGTTTTATCAAAAGCAGCAAGAAAAGCAGTCTTGGGTGGGTTTTATCACTTATTAACAGCCATTTATGAGGCCCCTGCTGTGTGTCAGGCACTGTGCAAGGTGCTGGAGGTTCCCCAGAGAACACTTCAGGGACATTTTGCCTCAGGGTGGCAAAATGCAGTGGCATGTGGACTTTTTGAATGGGATGCCATTTGCAGCTTTCCTTTGATGGACTCTTGTTCATAATGCCATGTTTTCTTTAATGAATCATTTAGGATTCTTAGGTGATATTTCTGGAACAGCACCATCAACAGCTTTGGCCACATGCACTTAGAGCAACTAACTTGCCTCCTGCCGGGGTGTAGGTGCGTTGGTGACAGTGTAGAAGGGTGATTCGCAGGCCCATGTTCTGCCCACCAGCAAAGCCCCACTGGAGAAGGGTAGACTCCTGTGGGCAGTCTCAGAGCTGGGACCTATTTGCTTCTGCTTGATTCTGCGTGGGTGGACCCACATGAGCAGCTGTATACCCAGGAGGTCACTAAGACTTTATAAAGGCAGGTTTTAAGAAAACCAGCCTTGGCATCACCACCAGCAGATACTGAAAGCCTCCCCAGGAACCTGTCTGGGGAAGGATGATGCCTCTGCTGGTCTGATCGTGCTGAGTAGCAGGTGGGCTACGGGGACTGGGGAGTTAAGCATTTTGTGCAGTGATAGAGAAGTCAAGCATATCGTTAGCGCTCTCTCAACTTGGGCAGTTCACAAGCTCCTTCCCAGCTCAGAAGCCCTCTCTATGCTCTCAGGGGAAGCAGATGGGGTGGATCAGTACATCTGTGTTACCCTTCCAGAATATTATTTGAAAATTCTACAGTATGTTCTACTTTCTCCCCTTCCTGCTTCCATGGTTTCACTGTGGAATCCTATAAGATATTCTCCTGAGCAGTATTATTTCAGTTTCCTTCAGCTTTTAGTTGAATCTTCAATGTGGTTTTAACCAACTGTTCAGAGAACTGAAATGGTTTTTAAATATGAAAAAGGACCTTTGTAAAAATGGAGTAAAACAGTGCCCCTTTTTTAAAAAAAGTTTTGCTTATGCTTAATTTACATAGGACTCAGGAGAGTTTGGAACATCCTCCAAGTGGGCCATAGAGCTGTCACAAAGAAGAGGCCATGATGTTTAGAAACAAGGGGACACTAGCAGGAGGGGCAGGGTCCACTGGCTTAGTGGCAACTGACAGGCATCCATTCCGAATAACTCAGCACTGAGGTTTCCTCAGGCAGTTCTTTAGGAAAACTGTCAGCATCATGGGTACTCAGAGGTATGGTAGACCTTGTAGAAGATCCACTAGGAAGTCCTCCTTCACCAAATCATGTAGCTACTGCCCTTGAGCCAAAGGCAATGAGGTTTAAAACAAAAACCCAACAGCACTCCTGGGAACATCCTGTTTTCCATGCGGAAGCATAGCAGATCCCCAGACGATCCGTGTGCTGTATGCTACCTGTTGAACCCTAGCATGGTGGCTTTTTAAAAGGTTATTTATGACTTTTATTTTTGGGTAAGGCATTATGGCCAGGTGCATGCAGTTATGTCTGGGTTACGTGTGAAACGTACATCTGGTGAACTGTATACTTGGCTCAAACTTCTCAAAATTTAGAGGTGCTGGAAAGGATTGTCACTTGGAGCCTTTAGTAGACAAAAGGCAGAAAGTGAGCATCATTTCAGAAATGCTTTAGTATGCACACTTTTAGCTGATATTTTGATATATAGAATAATAATATACACAGTGGAGAATATTCAAAGAGTGGCTGAAGGGAGAATACAGAGCCAGTAGGGCCAAAATGAAACTTCTAGGATGTCTTCTGAATTTTCAGCACATGGGGGGAATAAGTGAACAAATTTCCCAACATCGTGCAATGCTTTATAGCACAATGATCTAGATTTCAGACTGTGTTAAGGTTTTTTCTTTGTTGATGTTGTTGTTTTAATTCTAATGTGCACGGTGTGACTGGCAGAGTGAGTTTAAAAGCTTTACGAGTGATTAATTGCTTGGCAGGCACCCACGCTATCTGCATTTCCAGAACTTTACTGATGCATCCATGTACATTTCCACTGAGGAATTTTGGTGGGTGGGGGGAGGTTGTGCTGCCTCACAATGTCACGTGTATTAAAGTCTAAGCAGTCACTTCTGATTCACTTGCACTGTTTGGGAAATGTCAGGTTTACAAAAACATACATGTTTGGAATAAAAAATGGCTGCAAACAATTCAGAAGTTCAATCTGTAATTTACTTGCTAATAAGAACTTTTTAAAGTGTTGAAGCTAGGGTTTCAATGTAATACAACATGAGCATTAAAGAGAACATCAAGGTCCATCTAATTCACATGAACAACCCACCTGATGTGGCTGAACTGTCTGCAGTCCTTGGCCTCCACACAAGAGGTACCACCTCCTCTCTGCATCACCCTGACTCCCCTGGCCCAGGGCTACACCTAGGTTCTTGATCTTGAGATAAATGTGCCCAAATTAAATGGTATGGATTCCTTATTATCAGTAGACTTCTTTCACATGTGCCTGCCAGTTACTAAGCATTTTTCCAGAAGCATTTTGATAACATTCTTACACATTTACAAATATTGTATTCTCTTAGGTTTTCACTCTCCTTCATCTGTCTATTAATAGTTATGTTCTTGTTCATATTCCACATGCTGTTCATTTATGTGTTTTTTTTTCCCTAGACAAGACTGTTACCAGATAGGGGTTCCAATCCAGACACCAAGAGCAAGTTCTTGGATCTTGGGCTATCAAGAATTCGAGGCTAGTCCCTAAACTGAAAGCAAGTTTATTAAGAAAGTAAAGGAATAAAAGAATGGCTATTCCATAGACAGAACAGGACCAGGGCTGCTGGTTGCCCATTTTTATTGTTACTTCTTGATTATATGCTAAACGAGGGGTGGATTATGCATGAGTTTTCAGGGAAAGGAGTGGACAATTCCCGGAACTGAGGGTTCCTCCCCTTTCTAGACCATATACTACGGTAACTTCCTGACGTTGCCATGGCATCTGCAAACTGTCAAGACACCGGTGGGAGTGTCTTTTAACATGATAATGCATTATAATTAGCACATAATGAGCAGTGAGGGGAACCAGAAGTTACTCTTGTAGCCATGTTGGTTTTGGTGGGTTTTGGCTGGCTTCTTTATAACAGCCTGTTTTAACAAGGTTTTTATGACCTGTATCTTGTGCCAACCCCCTGTCTCATCCTGTGACAGGATGCCTAACCTCCTGGGAATGCAGCGCAGTAGCTCTCAGCCTTATTTTACCCAGCCCCTATTCAAGATGGAGTTGCTCTGGTTCAAACGCCTCTGACAAGACCAATAAAGATCTATGTATTTTCTTGGTGTTTTTCAAGAGTAAGCCTTTGGCTGTACCAATCAAGTCTACTGGGTTTTGCTTTCTATTTCGTTACTGCTTTTAGATTTATTAAAATTTCTTCTATTGCCTGATGGTTAAAATTCATACACATAGACACCACACAGTATAAAAGAGTTATGAAAAAATATACACCAATGGGTTAAGAATGATTGTCTTTAGGTAAGTGAGATTGTCAGGCTTTTGCTTTGTTTTATTTTGTTTTTATTTGAATATTCGTTTTCTACAGTGAGCATGTATTTTGTAACAATGAAACATATGCAGATTACTTGTAAATAAAATTATATCTGGGAGACTATAAATTGCTAAGCCAAAAGAGATGCCACATTGTAGGTCTGGAAAGAGATTTGTTGCAGCAAAGAGCATTGATGAGCCTGACACTTATGACAATGGTCCAGTGAGTAATTTCAAGCATTTTAATTCCAGTGCTTCCTGGCTTAACAAACCTGCCACCATTACTAATGCTAATTAAATAGGTTTCTCTGAGGTTGCCCAACCTGTTTTCCTAAGCCAGGAAATGGACTCGACAAACTCAAAAGAATCAAAAGATACAAATTTAAGAGGAAGAAAAATCACTAATTAGTGAAGTCTGCTTCCTATTCAATCAGGAGTTTTACAGCTCACCAGATTACCTCTCATCCTTAAAGTCTGTCTGGTCCTCAGGTTACTGTTTAGTAACAGAATTGATGTAAGAATTACTTAGAGCTCAGGCTGCACTATCAGACCGACTGGCAGCTATCCATCAGCAAAGCCACCTGTCCCTAAGATCATGTCCGTTCACTCTATGTATACATGCAACTAAAGTGTGTATAATGAGATATTGCCATCCCTGAGCTGAAATCTAAGGCTGCCTGCTGCCAAATCTCTGCTTTGCTTCAAAGTCCAAATTATTTTATATTTTATTTTAAATCAGTTTTTTAATCCTAAAAATTAAACCTCAATAAAGGGATAACTACTATCCTTTGAAGACAACCAATTGGTATTTTAAAAAGTTGGCATTTAAAAAAGAATCTCCAGGAAATGTTTCTTCTAGAAGATGACTGATTAGGAAAAAATGAAATTATCTCCAATTCCACATCTACTCTGAACCCACCTTATCAGGAGAATATTTGGCTCCATATAATAGAAAACTCCGAATTAATAAGGCCTTAAACATGATAAAAGTGTGTTCCTCTCTCCCAAAAAAAGAAGCAGAAGCTCTGGTACAGCAGCTCCATGGGCATCAGGAATCCAGCTCCTGTCTTTCTCAGCACCCTCAAGGTTGCCTCATGGTCTGAGATGACTACCAGGGAACTAGCTATCATGTCCACATTCCAAGCCAAAAATAGAAGAGGACAAAATGACATATGCCCCCTCCCTTTTAACTATTCTTCCTAGAAGTTCCATATAACGCTGGCCAGAAATTAATTATGTATGTAGATATACCCACCCACTAAGGAGGCTGGGGAATGCATTATTAAGGAATAAGAGGAGGGTAAGTGTTAAGAGACAACTACCAGTTGCCACACCCTCCACTGAGAAAATATTCAGACTATAGCTGCCTTGAGCTCTAAACTTGTACGCTTCAAATCCTTAAGTCTGGCTGGATTTAAGCAAGAGGCAAACCTTTATTTGGGCTGGAGTCAGGGATGGGGTGGATGCATGGAGCTGGTTAATCATATTCATGTCCATACAAAGCCCTTTCTTCTTTTATGTAACTTTTCTCCTTTGTGTCCCCACCCTCACTCACATTCCCCTCTCTCCCAGAGGAACCAAGTCTAATAAATACATGCCCTTAAACATGGATGTACATCATATTATTTTTTATGTTTCACTTAAATGGTATTGAGCACACACTGTTTTATTTTTCCAGGTTGTATTGATGTTGCTGTGTTTACATTTGGTTCATTGTTTCTGGCTACAGCATTACATTCTACATTATGTTTTCAGCACATTTCACTTCTCCAGCCCCTCTGAAGGAAGCCTTTGCTGCTTTCACTGCCTGCTGCAGTGAACACTCACATGGCCCTTTATGGGTGGAGCTAGAATCTCATGGTATCTATCATATATATGACATCTGAAGGTGGTTGGTTACGTTCTCATTTCGT
This sequence comes from Homo sapiens, assembly GCF_000001405.40. Classification (NCBI taxonomy): domain Eukaryota; kingdom Metazoa; phylum Chordata; class Mammalia; order Primates; family Hominidae; genus Homo; species Homo sapiens. The sequence goes on from NW_025791771.1 coordinate 399,418, forward strand.
TGCTAGATTCTCTCTAAAATGACCACAGACTGGACACTCCCAGCAACAGTGTATATTCCCACATCCTTGCCCAAAATGGAATTATCTGACCTAAAATGTTAGAATTACTTATCTTTTTCTGATGAAACTGAACATTCTATCATTATGCACTGATCCTTTTTTATCTTTAGTAATACTTTCTTATCTTAAAGTCTATTTTGATTAGTATTTACACAACATATCTTTTTCCATCCTTTTATTATAATCTTTCTATATCCATGTGCTTTGGATGTGTCATTTGTAAACATCATACAGCTGAATGTTAAAAATCCGTTCTAACACAATCTTTATCATTTTACTGGAACATTTATTTTATTTACATTTATTGTTATTAATGAAATAATTGGATTTATTTCTATCATCTTTTGTGTTTTCTTTTGTCCACCTTTTTATACTTTTCTCTCCTTTCTCTTCTTTGTTTTCACATTCCATTCTTCCCCTCCATTATTCACTTTTATTCTTTATGCAGATAACAGATACTTTAAAACTTTAAGCCTTACAATAGCCAGGCACAGTGGCTCATGCCTGTAATCCCAGCACTTTGGGAGGCCGAGGTGGGAGAATTGCTTGAGCCCAGGGGTTCAAGACCAGCCTGAGCAACACAGAGAGACCCCCATGTCTACAAAAAAAATTTTAGCTGGGTGTGGTGGTGCACACCCATAGTTCCAGCTACTTGGGAGGCTGAAGTGGGAGGATTGCTTGAGCCCAGGAGGTCAAGGCTGCAGTGAGCTGTGGTTGTACCACTGTACTCTATCTAGCCTGAGCAAGAGTGAGACCCTGTCTCAAAAAAAAAAAAAAAAAAAGACTTATACAATATCTTACTTATTTAACATATCACAATCTAGAGTTAGTCACTAGTCACTATCTTTTAATGTATTTTAATTTTATATTTTAACCACATAAATCATTGTTTTTGCTGTTTTCTTTAATGAATGCCAGTCTAGATTTGCCCCTATACTTGCCACCTTCTTGGCTCTTAATTGCTTCTTGCATCTCAGATATTTTCTCCTGGCATCATTTTCCTTGTGCCTAGTACATCCTTTAGAATTTCCTTCAGTAAGAATCTGCTGATGGCAAATGTTTCCATTTTGTTTTATCTGAAGCTGTCTTTAATTGCCCGTATTCTTGACTCTTTGCTGGTACAGAATTCTACATCAGCAGTTACTTTCAGTGGATGAATATAACATTTCATTTTCCTCTTGTTCCTGTTGTTACTATAAAGAAGTCAGCAGTCAGCCCATTTGTCACTCCTTTAAAGGGATCCTGTCTTTTCTCTTAGGTTTCTGTGAAGATTTTCTCTTTGTTTTTGTGTGCTGCAGTTTTCCTCTGAAGAGTTATATGGCATTTATGCTTACCTTTTCTGCTTGCAATTTGCTGTACGTCTGTGGTTTGAGGTCTTTCATCAGTTCTCTTCATCTCTTTAAATATTATCTCTGCTCCATTCTCTTTCCTCTCGCTTTATCCTTCTTGCCTCTTTATCTACCACTCCTAGTTCCATCCCATCATCCCTCTGTGCAGCATTCTGGACTATCTCTTCTAGCCCATTTCTGTATTCACTATCTTTTCAACGGTGTCAAATCTGCTTTGAGACTTGTTTGTTAAGATTTGGGTTTCAATTATTATATTCTTATATCCAAAGGCTTTTAGTTCTCCCTCAAATATGATGGGCACTTCTCTGTATTTTCTTGTTTATTGCATATAATTTCAAATTTATTTCTTTAAACATAAAAATCATAGTTTCCATTTTGTGTCTGGTAAGTGCAATGAAGTTTTTATGGCTCTGTTTCTGCTTTCTAGGATTTTTCCCCTGATGATCGTCACTCTTGGTGCTTGGTTTCCTTGTGCAACTAGTGGTTTGTTGGTTTGTTTATTGTTAGCTGCTTATTTTCCTTGCAAAATTACTTGTGGTAATTCTTTGAGGTCCAGGATGAAATATGTTCTATAGAGAGCCTTTGCTTTCACCTCTGCCAGGCACCAGTCTGGGGCCATACCTTGAGGTTTTATGGACCACCCAAATAACATGAATTTGAACAACACAGTCATATGAAGGCCAGCTTGTGGTTGCCACTTCTCAGCATCCCTGTCAACTCCTGTGATCTGCTCTGCACCATGGCAACTTTCCTCAAAGTTTTCCTTGGTCCTCCAGGAGTACTAGTAGGAATAGCGTTTCTCCATGTGGTTGAATCTTATGTTGAGGTTGCAGCCCTTGGAGATGCTGCTTTATGGGTCCCTGAACCCTTCGAGGCCATGAAAACCAAACTTCACTTTTGTAAGGCTTGCCACATGCTCAGGACTAAAATGATTGAAGCCCTCCACTTATCTCTCTGCCTCGCAGACTTCATTCCAACTTTGGCTTGATAATTTCATACTTTCGCTATCTTTTTGATACATTTAAGAATATGTCGTTCAAAATATTTTATTCTTCATTTTTAGTGTTTTGTTGTGGTGGTTGTTGGGAGAATTGGTCTACTTCTCTTCCTGGATCAGAAGTCTAGATATCTGCTTTCCATGTATCTAGTTTCCTCATCTCTCTCTCTCTCTCTCTCTTTCTCTCTCTCTCTCCCTCTCTCTCTCTCTCTCTCTGTGTATAACATTTTTATTATAAAACTTTTCAAGCGTACAGAAAAGTTGAAAGAATTCTACAATGAACACCTAAATATTCACCATCTAGATTCTACCATCAAAATTTTACTATATTGGGTTTATCACATATCTACCTATCCAGGCCAGGTGCAGTGGCTCACACCTATAATCCCAGCACTTTGGGAGGCAGATCACCTGAGGCCCGGAGTTTGAGGCCAACATGGAGAAACCCCATCTCTACTAAAACAAAAATTAGCCAGGCATGGTGGTGCATGCCTGTAATCCCAGCACTTTGGGAGGCTGAGGCGGGTGGATCATGAGGTCAGGAATTCAAGACCAGCCTGGCCAACATGGAGAAACCCCATCTCTAGTAAAAATACAAAAATTAGCTGAGTGTGGTGGCAGGCGCCTGTAATCCCAGCTACTCAGGAGGCTGAGGCAGGAGAATTGCTTGAACTGGGAGGTGGAGGCTGCAGTGAGCTGACACAGGACAGCTTAATGAAAAAGAACAAGCAGCTCAAATTCTACATTTTTGGTTTAAGGTAAGTTTGTGCAACAAGATACTGTCTATGATGGGGCTAAAAGAATCTTTATCAGCCGGGCGCGGTGGCTCACGCCTGTAATCCCAGCACATTGGGAGGCCGAGGCGGGCAGATTGCCTGAGGTCAGGAGTTTGAGACCAGTCTGGCCAACATGGTGAAACCCTGTCTCTACTAAAAATACAAAAAAATTAGCCAGGAGTGGTGGCATGTGCCTGTAATCCCAGCTACTTGGGAGGCTGAGGCAGGGGAATTCCTTGAACCAGGGAGGTGAAGGTTGCAGTGAGCCAAGATCGTGCCACTGTACTCCAGCCTGGGTGACACAGCGAGACTCCGTCTCAAAAACAAAGCAAAACAAATCAAAAGAAAAAAAAAAAAAACCTTTATCTTGTGCAGCCACAGTACTAAGGTTGCCAAAACTCAGACTGAATCCTGTGGGTTGTCAAATTGTAAAATCCATTAAATCCACAGATCATCAAATCCCTTATGTGAAATGTAGGGCATTGATAAGGAAATGAGTGGGAGCCAGGAATTGGAATGGGGAGATAAGGGAGGATTCCATGAGCCTCTCCTTTCCCCCATCTAATGAGGCTGCTCTTGCCTTACTTGAAGACTCTGAAATAACAAAGTAATCACCTTAAGGGAGATGCCTATTCTCTGTATGCCCCACTTCCCTCACCTCATCAATGCTTTCAGATCTATAGGAAAAGTAAGACCCACCAAGGGGCCAATCACATCATCAACCCATAGAAGATGGTTTAGGGAAGGCCAGCCCAGCATGGTGAGGAAGGACCAGCACCTCACTCAGCAGTGTGCTAGTCACACTGAGCAGGTACAAAGGTTCTGGGAGATGCTGCATTATCAAGAAATCAATACTGAAGAGCACCTAACATGTTCAAATGTAAGGGAAGGAGATGTGTATTAATACATCTTGAGCTAGGTTTAGAAATAAATTAGTGAGAAAGAAAGAAAGAGAATGTCAAATATCTTAATTCATTCAGGCCATAAACTGGGTGGTTTATAAAACAAAAAAACAAAAACCAGAAAGGCCAGGAGCAGTGGCTCACACCTGTGATCCCAGCACTTTGGGAGGCCAAGGCAGGAGAATCACTTGAGCCCAGGAGTTCAAAACTAGCCTGGGCAACATAGTGAGACTTTTTCTCTACCAAAGATAAAAAAAGTTAGCCAGGCTGGTGGCATGTGCCTATAGTCCCAGCTACAGGGGTGTGGTTGTGGGGGCAGCTAAGGCAGGAGGGTCGCTTGGGTGCAGGAGGTCGAGGCTGCAGTGAGCCATGATCGTGCCACTACACTCCCAGTCTGGGTGACATAGCCAGACCCTGTCCCAAAACAAAAACACAAAAACTCAGAAATTTATTTGTCACAGTTCTGGAGGCTAGGAAGTCCAAGACCAAGGCGCCAACAGGTTTGGTATCTGGCGAGGGCCCGCTTTCTGGTTTATAGATGGCACATTCTTTTTTTTTTTTTTTTTTTTTTTTTTGAGACGGAGTCTCACTCTGTTGCCCAGGCTGGAGTGCAATGGTGCAATCTCGGCTCACTGCAACCTCTGCCTCCTGGGTTCAAATGATTCTCCTGCCTCAGCCTCCCGAGTAGCTGGGATTACAGGTGCCCACCACCACGCCCGGCTAATTTTTGTATTTTTAGTAGAGACGGGGTTTCACCATGTTGGTCAGGCTGGTCTTGAATTCCCAACCTCAAATGATCTGCCTGCCTCGGCCTCCCAAAGTTCTAGGATTACAGGCATGAGCCACCGCACCCAGCCCATAGATGGCATCTTCATGCTGTGTCCTACATGTGGAAAGGAAAGAGCAAACAGTTTCCCTCAAGCGTCTTATGAGACTGACATGCTGCTGACTGCACCAAGGAGGCAACGCAAACCTCTTTTATAAGAGCATTGATCCAATTAGTGAAGTCTCCACCCTCATGACCTAATCATCTCCCAAAGGCTCCACCTCCTAATACCATCACCTTGGAGCTTTGGATTTCAACGTATGAATGATGGGGGCCACGGTGGGTGCACAAACATTCAGACCACAGTACTAAGTAAAGGGAAAAAAGACAATTACTGATTTCAGAGAAAGCAAAAGTTGAACAGAAACTGGAAAATAATCATGGTTTACCACGTGGCTCAACTATGAACAGCCTTATATATTTATAACAAAGTAAACACTGAGTTTTAAACTAAATCGTGCTACAACAGCATTAGGAAGAGAGGGGACAAGAAGTATGCGTGTGAAGTAGAGGTGGATATAAGGTTTGTTAAAATGAGCTAAATCTTCATCTTTCATTGAGAAAAATCAACAGGTCATGCCTAAAACGAAAGGATGAAGATACAGCAATATTTGTTATTTGGAGAGATAAACATAAATACCTAAGTAATCAGTTAAAAGTGGTTGCCTCCTATAAATGGGTAATACAAATGGATGTCAGGGAGTGTAGACTTCTGTACCAAGCCTTATAGAATTACTTGACTCTTTAAACTTTGTAATTTCAATAAAAGTAAAAAATAAATTTAAAAATCATCTGTAAAGTCTAATATCAGTTACCTGAAAAAATAAAACATGAGGAATTATGTGGAACAGGCTAATGTAGGCCTCAGGGAATTGGGACAGAATTGTGGTCACAGTGAAGAAAGGTTCAATCTAATCAATTGCTCTGTGTAAAGAAAGAATGCCTGGCTTGTGGGGGTGCAGTGCAGTAGTGGAGCCCGGACAACAGTCACGAGAATTCTAGGAGGGAACATTTGCAGTGTGTGTCCAGGACTGGCAGTGGGGAAGGGCCCAGCCCAGCCTGGGCTTCCCAGGAAACAGAGCTTGAGGCAAAGGTTTATGTATGAACACTTTATTGGGAATGCAATCCCAGGGAAGCAAAAGTGAGGGAGAAAGGGGTGTGCAGCAAAGAAAGAGGGAGAGCAAACAGGAGGTGCGCTACTGAGCTGGCCTCTGCTCAGCTAATTAATCATGGACCTCGTAGGGCTGAACTTCTGCATCTCCATCCATCTAAGCAAAGGACAAAAATATCATTGATCTGCTGGTTCTCCTTCATCTCCTGGATCCCAGTGGTCAAAATTTGCCTCCATGGAAGTTAATTCTCCTGCACTTCCAGTGTGTAAAGGATGATATGCACTCCCTCACCAGCTGCTAGAGAGCCAGATCCCAAGCCCTGCATCAGGGGCTTTGTCTGAGTCCAAAAGTGGTGAGAAGCACCAGCAGCAGCAGGGCAAGGCCCTCACAGTCACTGCAGGATGCAGCAGAGCCCACAGAGGTGTGGGCTACAACAATGAGCCAAGGCCCCAAGATGAGTCTGAAAGGACCACGCAGAGGAGGTAGCTGACACAGGACCTAGCTCATTACCACAGCATCTGAACCCCGGATGTGCAGCCCTGCAGTGGCAACAGATACATCCAGCCTCAAGCCCCACCTCTAATGTTCATGGTCACTGAAGAAGCTACTGATAGTCACAGCTCTCGCTGTAAAATATCCTACATTAGCCCATACATTTCTTGAGAGTTTGGCTGTGGGAGAATGTCCGCCCAGGGAGGGATCAGGGCCTCCCAAGGTAACGCTCCACCCGCTCAGCAAACTGCAACAAGACTGGGTATATAGGGTTTGCATTTTACTGACCTCTGGCAATGAATAAATTATTAAAATAATACATTCATTCATACAGCAATAATTACAAAAATCCACTAAGAACCAGAATGTCATGATGAGCAAAAACAGAAAGGGTTCTACCTTAAAAAGCATACAGTTTAAAAAGGAAGACAGTCACTAACAATGAACATGTAAATAAAGGGTGTTGTAAGGGCATGAAATGAAAGGGTGTGCCTCTTCTGGATTATCAGGGCAGGCTTCCCTAAGGAAGAGATGACCAAAAAGGAGGACTAACTAGGTGAAGAAAGCATTCCAGGCAAGGGAACACTATTTGCAAAGACCTAATGGCAGATGGGAGCCTGGATTGTTCAAGAACTTGAGGAGGGCCGAGTGGCCAGAGAGCAGGAACCAAGAAGCACAGCCATGAGGTGAGGCATGAGGGCACCCTGCTGGTAGGTGGCTGCCAGGACAGTGGCCCTCTGTGCCTTCAAAAGCTAAAAGGAAGGCCCAAGGTGAAGGCAGCACTGTGCCCATAAGAGTCTGAATTAATTGGAAGAATATCAAATAATTGGGCTGCCAGCTGTTCCCAGGTGGTCAGGACACATCAGTCCAGCTTTTCTAACAACTGCTTTAAAAGTGTGACACTTTTGGTCTCTTATTTATTTATTTATTTATTTATTTATTTATTTATTTGAAACAGAGTCTCGCTCTGTCGCCCAGGCTGGAGTGCAGTGGCGCAATCTTGGCTCACTGCAAGCTCTGCCTCCCAGGTTCAAGCCATTCTCCTGCTTCAGCCTGCCGAGTAGCTGGGACTGCAGGTGCCTGCCACCACGTCTGGCTAACTTTTTGTATTTTTAGTAGAGACGGGGTTTCACCGTGTTAGCCAGGATGATCTTGATCTCCTGACCTCGTGATCTGCCCACCTCGGCCTCCAAAAGTGCTGGGATTACAGGCGTGAGTCATCGCACCCGGCGACACTTTTGATCTTTATGGGAACATAACATTTAGCTTCCTAAAACTTCAGTGAAGTAGTGCTGAGGGCCAACAATGTTTGAAAAATTAAGTAACGCAGTTAGTAAGAACAATAAGAAAAGGCAAAAAGCAAGCATCTTTTCAAGGAACAAAATACTTCAAACATAAACTTACAGAAGCAATTTTAAATGGGATGCCACAGTTCCCCTGCTTATCCACGGTTTCGCTTTCCGAGCTTTCAGTTATCTGCTGTCAACTGCAGTCTGAAAATATTAAATGGAAAATTCCAGAAATAAATATTTTGTAAGTGTTAAGTTGCATGCCGTTTTGAGTAGCGTAATGAAATCTTACACATCCTGCTCCGTCCCACCTGGGATGTGAATCAGCCACGCGGCCTGCCCGTTAGTCACTTCGTCTTGGTTAACAGCTCGACTGCAGTGGTATTATGGTGCTTGGGTTCAAGTCACCCTTACTTGAATGAATAGTGGCCCCAAAGCAGAAGAGAAGCGACGCTGGCGTATTGTTATAATTGTTCTATTTTATTATTGTGTTACTCTATTACTGTGCCTAGTTTATAAATTAAACTTTATCATAGATATGTATGTATAGGGAAAAACATAGTATATACAGAGTTTGGTACTATCGCAGTTTCAGGCATCCACTGGTGGGGGGGGGTGGGAATCTCAGAAAGTATCCCCCATGGATAAGGGGAGGGGATTCTCAGAAAGTATCCCCCTTGGATAAGAGGGGGGTCTCAGAAAGTATACCCCATGGATAAGAGGGGACTACTGTATTCATCTCAGGTTGCAGAACTCTTGAGAAATTGAGAATTATGATGAAGCGTAGAAGATGATCCTTACTGAAATGGAACCATTCTCTATGCACTGTTTTGTAACCTATTTTCCCTACTCTGTCTCCAAAATGATATCATTGCCAAGGAGATTCACTCTTCACATCCTTGTAACAATGAGTGAAATGCCCTCAAATCAATGGGTACTTCTGGGCAACATTTTCTCTACAATTTCAGCTACTAAAAAATGTTAGTTTTAAACACATAAAGGCAACAGAGGCATATTTTGATTCTAAGCTGTTACATTCCTCTTGTACTATTTAATATAGATTCCTTTCATGTCTATGTTCATATAAGTCTGTATGAATGCTTAACTGTATGCTCTTAGCTTAACAGTTTGAACATTTTCCCTGGATATAAATATATTTAGTCTGAGGTATTTATGCTAAAGTTTTTTTAAAGTGAATATTATACTTTGACAATGTGACTCTGAGCTGTGGCATACAGAATTAAAACAACAATATTTAGCCTACCAAAAATGTTGAAATTTGCATCAGATCTCTGCAAAGGTGTAAATAGAATGGCTTGACATTTGAGAATTTTTTTTAAAAAAGGAAACTAATAACTCCAAAGACACAGTGGCAATCCCAGAAAAAAATTAAACTATAGACCAAAAAAGGACAAAATTATTAAAATACACATATATACAAAAATATCATCTGCCACAGTATTTTTTTTTTAGACAGATTCTCACTCTGTCGTCCAGGCTGGAGTACAGTAGCATAATCTTGGCTCACTGCAACCTCCTCCTCCTGGGTTCAAGCGATTCTCCTGCCTCAGCCTCCCTAGTAGCTGGGATTACAGGCACCCGTCACCACAACTGGCTAACTTTTTGTATTTTTAGTAGAAATGGGGTTTCACCATATTGACCAGTCTGGTCTCAAACTCCTGATCTCAGGTGATCCATCCACCCCAGCCTCCCAAAGTGCTGGGATTACAGGCGTAAGCCACTGCACCTGGCCAAGTTTTAATTATTCTCTGGGCTCCCCAGTTTAAAATATTTTTATATATGCTATGACAGAAACAGATTCATCCATTTAATTTATTTGAGTAACAGCACTCTGTTTAATAAATTTTCTATTTTAAAATTCATTTTACATTGATCATATGCCATGTGCCAGACTCTATATATAAGATCTGAGTTATTCTTGGAAGACTTCCTGAATTTGTATTTCAATAGTTTAGAAGATTTTGCTTTCTATCATTCTAGAACAATAGTAACTTGATAAATTCTTTCTTTGCTAAATTCTCAGTGCAGATTTCACTAGCTGGGCTATTTCAACTTATTTATCACGAAGCATTTGCTGGGCCATCCCCTGTGGCATGGATGTCACCAATTCCATCTTGGAATTTGCTCTATTTCTCCACTGGGTGAAGTGGTTTATTGGCTGTCAATCTGTAAAGTGCTCTCTGGGATTATCTGAGTGCAAGACAGTAGGAGTGGAAACATATTTCACTGTCTTTTCTGTCAAGATGAAAGGAACATGCCCAATAAATTATCTTCTAGCAAGAGTGGATGAAAATTCCAGTGAGTGACCTAGAGCCTCCATCAGATGGTGGCCATACACAGTGTCCTGTGGATAGTTATGGTCTCCAGGGTCTGATGGCTTCTTCTACTGTCACTTTAGTTTCATATTTGTTATTACTATATGTGTATGTATGTATGCATACATTATATATAAATATTTGCTCTAAAACCTACTCCTCAAAGTCATGGAAAGTGAGAAAGAGAGAATTAGAATTTTCCTTCCCACCCTGTCCTCATCTGCCCAGTTTCTTCGCCATACCTCCTCCACCCTCCATCTAACCATTGTTACTATTTTCTTATGAGTCCATACAGATTTTCTTTACATACTTGCAAGCAAATATGAATATTTCCTTTGGGTTGTTTTCCTTTTATACATAAAAGGTAGCCCACTAGATACGTTATTCTGCACCTCATGTTTTCCCTCTCATTTCACAGATAGCACCCTTTGTTTTGTTTTGTTTTGAGGCAGTTTCACTCTGTCACCAAGGCTGGAGTACAGTGGTGCAATCTCGGTTCATTGCAATCTCCACCTCCTGGGTTCAAGCAATTCTCCTGCCTCAGCTTCTCAAGTAGCTGGGATTACAGGCAAGTGTCACAACACCTGGATAATTTGTGTATTTTTAGTAGAGATGGGATTTCACCAAGTTGGCCAGGCTGGTCTCAAACTCCTGAACTCAAGTGATCAGCCTGCCTTGGCCTCCCAAAGTGCTAGGACTACAGGCGTGAGCCACTGTGCCTGGCCCCTTATTCTTTTTATAGCTGTATAACATTCCATTCTTCCAATATATGGATAAACCATAGTTTATATAATCAGTCCCCTTTTGAGGGAAATTTAGGTTTTTTCAATCTTTTATTATTACTGCAATAATTAACCCTGTACACCGTCATTTTTCCTGTGTGCAAATATACTTTAGGACAAATTTCTAGAAATGGAACTGCAGGAACAACTGATCTATGTGTTTGTAATTTTGACAAATATTGCCAAATTGTTCTCTATAAGGGCTGTACCAAGTCACTCCCACCCACAGTGTGTGGTTCCATTTGATGTATTTTCAATGGTTTTCTGAAGACAGAACATGTTCTGATCATTTCTTGTTTCCTATCTATGACATGCCTTCATTGAACAAAGACTTACCTAGGGCCAGACACGCCCCACACCCTCTTCTTAGGTCCTGGAAATAACAGCAGTGAACAAAGCAACACAAATCCATTTCTTAACATTTGTGTTGTGAGACAGAGAAATAGAGGGTGGAGGATGGGCCTGGAACATACTTTCGTGATCATCTGAAGCCACAGTCACCAACTCAGATGTCACACAGGGAACTTGCGTGTGTGAAGAAGGGCAGCAGTGAGCTGTCAGAGGGAATGGTGAGGCCTGCGTGGTCTTGAAGAGCACAGGCCTGTGTGCAGGCTGACCTACAGCAATAGGTCATGTGGGAAAAAAAAAAAAAAAGCCCATGTGACAGCGCTTCCCAATTTTCAAGAGAAACCAGAAATACAATTTTCATGTGATATCTCCCCACCTTTAATGCTGAGAAGTCATTCTAAATTTTAAGAACACTTTGAGGACAGTTTTTGTTACTGGGGCTAAGCAAGTTGATACTACAGTTTATATGGAAAAAGAAACATTCCTGCGAATATCTAGGAAAATACTGAGGGGCAAAAAGCTATAGTGGGCATTGGAGACTAGCACTACTATTCATTAAAACGTCTACAAAGCCTCTGTAATTAAAACTGTGCGGTACTGGTGCATGAATAGATGGACCAGCAGAACAGAATAAAAAGGCCGGAAATCAACCTAAGTGCATATGGAAAAGTGGTATACATTCAAGGTGGCATTTCAAAACATTGGGACAAATACTGAGTTTTTATTAAGTGGTGCTGCAACAATGGTTAGCTGTGGAACAAAGATAAAACTGGATCATGGGAGTCACTTCCAAGATGGCCGAATAGGAAGAGCTCCAGTTTACAGCTCCCAGCAAGATCGATGCAAAAGATGGGTGATTTCTGCCTTTCCAACTGAGGTACCTGGTTCATCTCATTGGGAATGGTTGGACAGTGGGTGCAGCCATGGAGGGTGAGCCAAAGCAGGGCAGGGCATTGCCTCACCCGGGAAGCACAAGGGGTTGGGGGATTTCCCTTTCCTAGCCAAGGGAAGCCGTGAGTGACTGTACCTGCAGGAATGGTACGCTTCTGCCCAAATACTGCACCTTTCCCACGGTCTTTGCAACCAGCAGACCAGGAGATTCCCTCCCGTGCCTGGCTCGGTGGGTCCCACGCCCATGGAGCCTTGCTCGCTGCTAGCGCAGCAATCTGAGATCGACCGGGGGATGCTGGAGCTTGGCAGGGGGAGGGGTGTCCGCCATTGCTGAGGCTTGAGTAGGTGGTTCTATGCTCACAGTGTAAACAAAGTGGCAGGGAAGCTCGAACTGGGCGGAGCCCACCGCAGCTCAGCAAGGCCTACTGCCTCCCTAGATTCCACCTCTGGGGAAGGGCATATCCGAAGAAAAGGCAGCAGAAAGCTCTGCAGACTTAAACGTCCCTGCCTGATAGCTCTGAAGAGAGCAGTGGTTCTCCTAGCACAGTGTTCGAGCACTGATAATGGACAGACTGCCTCCTTAAGTGGCTCCCTGACCCCCGTGTAGCCTGACTGGGAGACACCTCCCAGTAGGGGCTGACAGACATCTCATACAGGCGGGTGCTCCTCTGGGACAAACCTTCCGGAGGAAGGATCAGGCAGCAATATTTGCTGTTCTGCAGCCTCCACTGGTGATACCCAGGCAATCAGGGTCTGGAGTGGATTTCCAGCAAACTCCAACAGACCTGCAGCTGAGGGGCCTGTCTGTTAGAAGGAAAACTAACAAACAGAAAGGAATAGCATCAACATCAACAAAAAGGACATCCATACCAAAACCCCATCTGTAGGTCACCAACATCAAAGACCAAAGGTAGATAAAACCACAAGGATGGGGAGAAACTAGAGTAGAAAGGCTGAAAATTCCAAAAACCAGAATGCCTCTTCTCCTCCAAAGGAACACAACTCCTGTCGTGTTCTCCTGGATGGAGAATGAGTCTGATGAGTTGACAGAAGTAGGCTTCAGAAGATCAGTAATAACAAACTTCTCCAAGCTAAAGGAGCATGTTCTAAGCCATCGCAAGGAAGCTAAAAACCTTGAGAAAAGGTTAGATGAATGGCTAACTAGAATAACCAGTGTAGAGAAGAGCTTAAATCACCTGGTGGAGCTGAAACCCACAGTATGAGAACTTCGTGAAGCATACACAAGTATCAATAGCCAATTCATTCAAGCGGAAGAAAGGATATCAGTGATTGAAGATCAAATTAATGAAATAAAGTGAGAAGACAAGATTAGAGAAAAAAGAGTGAAAGGAAACGAACAAAGCCTCCAAGAAATATGGGACTATGTGAAAAGACCAAATCTATGTTTGATTGGTGTACCTGAAAGTGACGGGGAGAATGGAACCAAGTTAGAAAACACTCTTCAGAATATTATCCAGGAGAACTTCCCCAACCTAGCAAGGCAGGTCAACATTCAAATTCAGGAAATACAGAGAACACCACAAAGATACTCCTCAAGAAGAGCAACCCAAGACACATAATTGACAGATTCACCAAGATTGAAATGAAGGAAAAAATGTTAAGGGTAGCCAGAGAAATAGGTAGGGTTACCCACAAAGGGAAGCCCATCAGACTAACAGCAGATCTCTCAGCAGAAACCCTACAAGCCAAGACAAAGAAGGCCATTACATAATGGTAGAGGGATCAACTCAACAAGAAGAGCTAACTATCCTAAATATATATGCACCCAATACAGGAGCATCCAGATTCATAAAGCAAGTCCTTAGAGACCTACAAAGAGACTTAGACTCCCACACAATAATAATGGGAGACACTGCACTGTCAGTATTAGACAGACCAACGAGACAGAAGGTTAACAAGGATATCCAGGACTTGAACTCAGCTCTGGACCAAGTGGACCTAATAGACATCTACAGAACTCTCCAACCCACATCAACAGAATATACATCCTTCTGAGCACCAGATCGCACTTATTCTAAAATTGACCACATAACTGGAAGTAAAACACTCCTCAGCAAATGTAAAAGAACAGAAATCACAACAAACTGTCTCTCAGACCACAGTGCAATCAAATTAGAACTCAGGATCAAGAAGCTCACTCAAAACCGCACAACTACATGGAAACTGAACAACCTGCTCCTGAATGACTACTGGGTAAATAACGAAATGAAGGCAGAAATAAAGATGTTCTTTGAAACCAATGAGAACAAAGATACAACGTACCAGAATCTCTGGGACACATTTAAAACAGTGTGTAGAGGGAAATTTATAGCACTAAATGCCCACAAGAGAAAGCAGGAAAGATCTAAAATTGACACCCTAACATAACAATTAAAAGAACTAGAGAAGGAAGGGCAAACAAATTCAAAAGCTAGCAGAAGATAAGAAATAACTAAGATCAGAGCAGAACTGAAGGAAATAGAAACACAAAAAACCCTTCAAAAAAAATTCAATGAATCCAGGAGCTGGTTTTTTGAAAAGATTAACAAAATAGATAGACTGCTAGCAAGACTAATAGAAAAGAGAGAAGAATCCAATAGATGCAATAAAAAAAATGATAAAGGGGATATCACCACTGATCCCACAGAAATACAAACTACCATCAGAGAATACTATAAACACCTCTATGCAAATAAACTGGAAAATCTAGAAGAAATGGATAAATTCCTGGACACATACACCCTCCCAAAACTAAACCAGGAAGAAGTTGAATCTCTGAATAGACCAATAATAGGTTCTGAAATTGAGGCAATAATGAATAGCCTACCAACCACAAAAAGTCCAGAACAAGGCAGATTCACAGCCGAATTCTACCAGAGGTACAAAGAGGAGCTGCTACCATTCCTTCTGAAACTATTCTAATCAATAGAAAAAAAAGGAATCCTCCCTAACTCATTTTATGAGGCCAGCATCATCCTGATACCAAAGCCTGGCAGAGACACAACAACAAAAAAAGAGAATTTCAGGCCAATATCCCAAATGAATATCAATGCAAAAATCCTCAATAAAATACTGGCAAACTGAATTCAGCAGCACATCAAAAAGCTTATCCACCATGATCCAGTCAGCTTCATCCCTAGGATGCAAGGCTGGTTCAACATACACAAATCAATAAACATAACCCATCACATAAACAGAACCAATGAAAAAAAAACACATGATTATCTCAATAGATGCAGAAAAGGCCTTCAACAAAATTCAACAGCCTTTCATGCTAAAAACTCTCAATAAACTAGGTATTGATGGAACATATCTCAAAATAATAAGAGCTATTTATGACAAACCCACAGCCAATATCATACTGAATGGGCAAAAACTGGAAGCATTCCCTTTGAAAACTGGCACAAGACAAGGATGCCCTCTCTCCCTACTCCTATTCAACAGAGTATTGGAAGTTTTAGCCAGGGCAATCAGGCAAGAGAAAGAAATAAAGGGTATTCAATTAGGAAAAGAGGAAGTCAAATTGTCTCTGTTTGCAGATGACATGATTGTATATTTAGAAAACCCCATCATCTCAGCCCAAAATCTCCTTAAGCTGATAAGCAACTTCAGCAAAGTCTCAGGATACAAAATCAATGTGCAAAAATCACAAGCATTCCTATACACCAATAACAGACAAACAGAGAGCCAAATCATGAGTGAACTCCCATTCACAATTACTACAAAGAGAATAAAATACCTAGCAATCCAATTTACAAGGGATGTGAAGGACCTCTTTAAGGAGAACTACAAACCACTGCTCAACGAAATAAAAGAGGATACAAACAAATGGAAGAACATTCCATGCTCATGGATAGGAAACATCAATATTGTGAAAAGGGCCATCCTGCCCAAGGTAATTTATAGATTCAACGCTACCCCCATCAAGCTACCAATGACTTTCTTCACAGAATTGGAAAAAACTACTTTAAAGTTCACATGGAACCAAAAAAGAGCCTGCATAGCCAAGACCTGACTTCAAACTATACAAGTCTACAGTAACCAAAACAGCATGGTGCTGGTACCAAAACAGATATATAGACCAATGAAACAGAACAGAGGCCTCAGAAATAACACCACATATCTACAACCATCTGATCTTTGACAAACCTGACAAAAACAAGCAATGGGGAAAGGATTCCCTATTTAATAAATGATGCTGGGAAAACTGGCTAGCCATATGTAGAAAGCTGAAACTGGATCCCTTCCTTACACCTTCTAAAAAAATTAACTCAAGATGGATTAAAGACTTAAATGTAAGACCTAAAACCATAAAAACCCTAGAAGAAAACCTAGGCAATACCATTCAGGACATAGGCATGGGCAAAGACTTCACGACTAAAACACCAAAAGCAACGGCAACAAAAGCCAAAATAGACAAATAGGATCTAATTAAACTAAAGAGATTCTGCACAGCAAAAGAAACTATCATCAGAGTGAACAAGCAACCAACAGAATGGGAGAAAATTTTTGCAATCTATCCATCTGACAAAGGGCTAATATCCAGAATCTACAAAGAACTTAAACAAATTTATAAGAAAAAACAAACAACCCCATCAAAAACTGGGCAAAGGATATCAACAGACACTTCCCAAAAGAAGACATTTATGCAGCCAACAGACACATGAAAAAAGGCTCATCATCACTGGTCATCAGAGAAATGCAAATTGAAACCATAATGACATACCATCTCACACCAGTTAGAATGGCGATCATTAAAAAGTCAGGAAACAACAGATGCTGGAGAGGACGTGGAGAAATAGGAAGGCTTTTTACACTGTCAGTGGGAGTGTAAATTAGTTCAACCATTGTGGAAGACAGTGTGGTGATTCCTCAAGGATCTAGAACTAGAAATACCATTTGACCCAGCAATCCCATTATGGGGTATATACCCAAAGGATTATAAATCATGCTACTATAAAGACACATGCACATGTATGTTTATTGTGGCACTATTCACAATAGCAAAGACTTGGAACCAACCCAAATGTCCATCAATAACAGACTGGATAAAGAAAATGTGGCACATATACACCATGGAATACTATGCAGCCATAAAAAAGGATGAGTTCATGTCCTTTGCAGGGACATGGATAAAGCTGGAAATCATCATTCTGAGCAAACTATCACAAGGATAGAAAACCAAACACCGCATGTTCTCGCTCAGAAGTGGAAGTCGAACAATGAGAACACATGGACACAGGGAGGGGAACATCACACACCAGAGCCTGTTGGTGGATGGGGTGTTGGGGGAGGGATAGCATTAGGAGAAATACCTGATGTAAATGATGAGCTGATGGGTGCAGCAAACCAACATGGCACATGTATACCTATGTAACAAACCTGCACATTGTGCACATGTACCCTAGAAGTTAAAGTATAATTTAAAAAAATAATTTTAAAAAATCCGGATCCTATGGCCGAGCGGGGTGGCTCACGCCTGTAATCCCAGCACTTTGGGAGGCCGAGGCGAGCAGATCACGAGGTCAGGAGATCGAGACCATCCTGGCTAACACGGTGAAACCCCATCTCTACTAAAAATACAAAAAATTAGCCGGGCGTGGTGGCGGGTGCCTGTAGTCCCAGCTACTTGGGAGGCTGAGGCAGGAGAATGGCGTGAACACAGGAGGCAGAGTTTGCAGTGAGCCAAGATTGTACCACTGCACTCCAGCCTGGGTGACAGAGCGAGACTCCGTCTCCAAAGAAAAAAAAAAAAAATCCGGATCCTTATCTCACACCATACGAGAGAAGCAATTGCAAATGGATCAGAGGTCTAACTGTAAAAGATGAAACCATACAGGCACTAGAAGAAAACATGGATATGGTCTTGCATAGTCTGGTTGTAGAGAAAGGCTTTCCAACTATGACTCAAAATCCAGTGGCAATAAAAGAACAGATTGATATATTTGACTACATAAAACTAAAAAGAGGCCAGGCACGGTGGCTTATGCCTGTAATCCCAGCACTTTGGGAGTCCAAGGTGGGTGGATCACAAAGTCAGGAGATCAAGACTAGCCTGGCCATATGGTGAAACCCCACCTCTACTAAAAATACAAAAATTAGCCTGACATGGTGATGCGCACCTGTAGTCCCAGTTACTCAGGAGGCTGAGGCAGAAGAATCGCTTGAACCCAAGAGGCGGAGGTTGCAGTGAGCCAAGACCACGCCACTGCCCTCCAGCCTGGGCGACAGAGCGAGACTCTGTCTCAAAACAAAATAAAACACAACCAAAAAAACCTTAAAAGAAAAAAATGTTTTCTTGGCAAAAAATACCATAAGCAAAGTCAAAAGACAAATGACAAAATGGGAGAAAATATTTGCATTTATGTCACAGATAAAGAGCCAATGTCCTTAATGTAGAAACAAACTCTTTAAAAAAGTGAGAAGTGAGATATTTTATAAGTCCATAGAAAAATGGGCAAAAGACATGATGGATAAGTCACTAAAAAAAGATATTAAAATGGGCTTAAACATTTAAAAATATGTTCAATTCACATTATAAGAGAAATACAAATTTAAACTGTGCTGAGGTACCATTTCTCTCCTAGCAGATTGGCAAAAAATGTTTAATATAACAACACATTCTGTTGGTGAGGCTGTGGGGAAAGAGGTACTCTCATACATTGCTGGTGAAAATGCAAATTGATACAAACTTTCTGGGAGGAAATTTGCAATTCCTAACAAAACTACAAGTGTCTTCCTTTTGACCCAGTTATCCAGGAACATACCTTAAGTTACTTCTCCAACAACATAAAAAGTACTATAGCATTGTTTGTAGTGCAAAATTCTGGAAACATACTAAATGCCATACATGGAAGGGTAGCTGAAGAAATGATACTAAGTCCACACAATGAAATACTATACAGTGGCTTTAATTAAAGATTATTAGGAATATCTCTATGAACTGAAGTGGAGTGATTTGCAGGCTGTATTGTGAAGTGAAAAGGAGAAGTACAAATGAGTATCTATTGTGTGCTACTTATCATGTAAGAAGAGAGAAATCATAATATATACTTGTGTCGACTATACAGAACAACAACAACAACAACAAAAACATAAGAAGGACAAACCAGAAAGTAATGATAACGATTACCTAAAGTTGTAGGGTCCATGCCTGGTAGGTAGGAAGTGGGTTGGGGGTAAGTTACAAAGGGCAGTGACACTTCTCTGAGGATACCTTTCTGTGTAGTTCTGACTTTTAGAACCGTGTTAGTGTTTCACTTGCCTAAAACAAACAAACAAACAAGGTGGGGAGAAAACACTAACATAAAACACAAACAGAAAAAAAATGACCCTCATTAGAGGTGGAGGAACTAATCTAAGTAATATTTGAATAAAGTATTTTGACAAAAGGCAAAGACAGTGTAAAAAAATATTGAACTCTACTTACTGAGTTGGGTTTTTGCAGTAGAATGGGATAGCAATTCTGAAGCTACTTTCTGGGCATTCTAAGATTGAGCATTGTGTATAAATAATGTATTGTGGATAATGGGAGTCAAGTTTTTCACTATCAGGGAAGGGAGTTACAAATATGGCAAGAGGAGAAGGAAATATACTGAATCATGTGGTGTTAGGAATCTGAGGTGTCATCATAAACTCCAGGTTTTAGTAGATTGAATATAAATAGATGATTGATAGAGAGGTTGATTAATAATATAGATGTAGATAGATTAATTGATATTGATAAATGATAGATAGGTAGATATAGATAAATTTATATAGCTGTGTCCACCAAGGGAGCCTAGGATCAATGACACTGCAGCAGCAATAAGCGCATCTGGCACCCAGATCTTGGCTTCTAAGTACTATTCTCCACTAAAAAGAAGCAGGACTCCTTAGAGAAATAACTGATTCCAGGGCTGGTACAAGAAAAAGACCCTATGAGCCCAAAGCATTTTGTTGTACCAGAGTAAAGAAGAGCTTGAGAATAATAGGGATGTGTCAAAAGTACTCAAAACCCAACTTGAGCAATCTCCCACTGACCAAAATTTAACAGCAATAACTGATTAAGGCAAGGGTCATCAACAGATGCTAAAACTAGAGGGTAAATGTTTTATGAGAATGAGGGTATTTACATCATCTCAAAGTACCTCCCTCATACACAAAATGCTTTTTAATTACAATGGGAAAAATACAAAGGACAAAATTTACAGTGAAGAAACCTTAGAGACACTGCCTTAACCAAGTAATCAAACTTAACATTATCAATAATGCCACAAAGCAATGTCAAGTGCCTCCTCATATGCGGCACTGGTGAGGATACAACATCACTCCTGGAGTACTCACCAAAAATGCATAATCTGAATCTAATCATGAGGAAACAACAGACAAACCCATGTTAAGGAGTATTCTACAAAATCACTGGGCTGTACCAGATTAAAGGAAACTAAAGAAACAGGGAAACATAATCTTAAATTGGATCCTAGACCAGAAAACATAAATATTCCCCTTTGCTATAAAAGACAAAATAGGTAAATTGGTGAAATAAGCATGAGGTCTGTGGATTAGTTGATAACACTGTATCAATGTTAATTTACTGATTGATTTGATCATTGTATCATGGTTATATGAGAGATTGTCCTTTTTAAAGATATTTTGAAATGTTGAGGATAGGCCTGAAGTTTACTTTCAAATGGTTCAAATAATACAATTGGGGAGTAAAAAGTTAATCTTTGGGGAATTTAGTTAAAGGGTATATAGGAATTCTTTATTCTTATGATGTTTCTGTAAGTAATTATTTAAAAAAAAACACTGTAATGACAGTCTGCTCTATACAGGCAAATACAAAAAAACAACAAGAATAATAACAAACCACGTTTGCTACCAGCATGGGTCAGTCGGCTGGATTTCACTCCTGGGCTGCCAGTTTGCAATCTCTGGTTTAGAGCTGTTTTCTTGAGTTGATTTTGAGTGTGGTCTTGCTGATAACTGTTGCCAGTGCTGGAGAATGCTTTTGCTGCATCTGGAACTTTTAAACCAGCTTAGCACCAGATAAGCAGACAGCCCTTATATAAATAACCAATTTGATAATTTGACAATGAAACAGTTAAAATCCGAAGGCAGCCCCAGTCCTCCAAGATGGCTAGGGGACCGTGGTCCAGTCCTTCCCCCATGGAAGTCCTGCATTTCAACAGCTGCCTTGGAGAAGTGCAAGTACTCTGGCTTCCTGGTTTCTGGCCTCAACCATACACGATGCTAGAGGGGTATCAAATTATCTTTTAGAACCCCACTGTTGAAGAAAAAATGTTTGCATAAATAAAGGGAAAAAAGAAACTCTAAAGTTGAACAAGTAAAGTTATGAAGAAAGAAAAATCTGTTTCAATTTTGGAAACAGAAATGTTATTGTTGGCATGTCAAGCTTTTCTGTGTAAGAAGGAGAAGCCAGGTGAGTGTCAGGGCTTCCCCCAGGGACCTCGTGCGGCATATGGGAGGGTCACATCTGAGGGTGCAGCCCAATGTGCCAGAGCCAAGATATGTTAAATCAGTTCACAGACTGATCTCAGGACATTCATGCCACCTCTCCCTTCTCAGTCTACAATCACTCTTTCCTGCTTATTAATAAGTCCAAAAGCCACTAATAAGTCTCAAGACACAGACCAAGAATACTAAACTTAGAGGAGGAGGCTCCCTCTGAACTGGGTCTTGGGAAGCAGGCAAGGGTAACTCAAGGGAGGGGCAAAGAACAACATTCTTGGCACAGGGAAAGCACAAGCAAAGGAGAAGCATGACAGATATGACATAACTTTGGGCCTGTGTCTTTTTTTTTTTTGAGATAGAGTCTCACTCTCACCCAGGCTGGAGTGTAGTGGCTCCATCACGGATCACTGCAACCTCCGCCTCCCGGGTTCAAGTGATTCTTGTGCCTCAGCCTCCTGAGTAGCTGGGATTACAGGTGCGTGCCACCACTCCCAGCTAATTTTTTTGTATTTTTTTTAGTAGAGATGGGGTTTCACCATGTTGGCCAGGCTGGTCAGGAACTCTCTCTCTCTCTCTCTCTCTTTCTCTCTCTCTCTCTCTCTCTCTCTCTCTATATATATATATATATACATATATATATATATTTTTTTTGAGACAGAGTCTCACTCTGTTGCCTGGGCTGGAGTGCAGTGGCACTATCTCGGCTCACTGTAGCCTCGACCTCCCAGGCTCACGTGATCCTCCCACTTCAGCCTCCCGGGTAGCTGAGACTACAGGCATACACCACCACACCTGGCTAATTTTTTGCATTTTTTTTTTTTTGTAGAAATGAGGTTTTACCATGTTGCCCAGGCTGGTCTTGAACTCCAGGGCTCAAGTGATCTGTCCATCTCAGCCTCCCAAAGTGCTGGGATTACAGGCATGAGTCATTGCACCCGGCCTGGGCCTGTGTCTTAATCTCTTGCTATTTATCTGTATCTCTTAACATCTCTCTGGGAATAGTCCAATAGATATGCAGTTTGGAGTTGTAAATTTAGCTTCCTAAGGACAGGGAAGCCCAAGGAGCACAGATCTAGTAGATTCTGGGTTTCAGGCCTCCCTATCCAGCACGCAGGAAAAGTACCCGTCTTAGCCCCTGATCACGTGCTCCTCGTCCAGGTAACCTCATCTCCAGAAAAATGAGGCTGAGGAGGTTTGACTAATGATTATGCTTATCCCAGAATAATTTTCTAGATTTCTGTCAATGCCTTCCCTTCCTCAGATAAATCCAGTACAATCATTTCCTACGCCATCCTGCTTTAAGCACAGCATGCAGGAGTGGCGGGAGCTTAGAGTTAAGATCTGGAAACTCCCAATCAATGACTTGCCCTGTCATCTTGAGCAGCGGCTTCCCGGACAGATAGGATTCCCCGACACAAAGGCAATCATCACCATCTCAGCTCTGATGGAGCAAGCCACTTAACCTCGTGAAGCCTGTTTCCTCATCTGTAAGATGGCATTATTAACAGAGAGGTTGTGAAGACTGGTGAAGACAGAGTCCTGCCATGACAGGGCTTGACACACCTCCAGCTGCCTCAGGCTCTACCCAAAGCTGGGAGGAAAGGGAAGGGGGATCTTCTCTACACCTCAGGAAATGCCCCCCTCCACAGCTGTCAGGGCAGGCCCACCTCTGACATTTGCAGGACAAGAGAGCAAATGGAGGCCAATTCTGTATGCTGTGGAGTTTTCTTCATTCCATTCCATCTAAATCAGGAAAATGCAACAAAATCTGAGGCTGAATGACCAAGTTCGAATTTTAAACGAACAGATTCCTTGGAGTGCTGCACCGGAGTGTGACAACACAGGGACAGCCAAGCCCAGGCTCCTGGCTCACAGCTGCCTCACTGCTCTCCCCTGATGTGTGGGCCCCATGCTCAAGCCTGTGGGATAGGAAATTCCAAGGTCCTAGGTGCCCCAGGTGCATTTCGTAACAGGGGAGGTGGAGGCACAGACTTCAGGTAGCCACATGCCCTGGTGTCCTGCAAATTTCTTACCCCATGGGGAAGGGAACAACTGGACAAAGGCCTAAATAAAGACTTCTAAAGCACCAGGCCCAGGGCAAGCGTCCCTTTTGCTCAGGTCTAAGGGCAAGAGTGGGACAGGATTAGATATCTGACCTGTAAACAGTACCCCATTGACTGGCCAGTGACCTATGAGGTGTCCTGGCATGAAGAGCTCTGCCCAGAGAGGATGATCGTTGAAGACTGTAATTTCCAAAACTGGCTACCACAGTATTTCCATTCACAGGCTCTTCTAGCACGTTGCCATGCCCCTTCAAGAGATGGAGTCTATTTCTCCTCCCCCTGAACCTAGGTGGGACATTATGATAGTCTTGGTGAACAGAATGCAGTAGAAAAGACACTGAGTAATTTCTGAGACTAGGTCATAAAATGTGATATGGCTTCCGCCTGGGACTCTCTCAGAGGACACACCCTTGCAACCAGCCACCATGTTGTGAGGAAGCCCAGGCCACTGGAGAGATCACTGTTTGAAAACATAGGTTTCAGGCTGGTGGCGGAGGTTGCAGTGAGCTGAGATCACGCCATTGTACTCCATCCTGGGCAACAAGAGCAATTCCATCTCAAAAACAAACAAACAAACAAAAAAGAAAATATAGGTTTTATTATTATTCAGGTATGAAGAGGCCAACAGGTCAAGAGACGACTGCCATTGAAAAGACAGATTAGGCTGGGCACAGTGGCTCATGCCTGTAAATCCCAGCACTTTGGGAGGCCAAGGCGGGCAGATCACCTGAGGTCAGGAGTTTGAGACCGGCCTGGCCAACATGGTGAAACCCTCTCTCTACTAAAAATACAAAAATTAGCTGGGTGTGATGGTGCATCCCTGTAATCCCA
The DNA here is from genome assembly GCF_000001405.40 of Homo sapiens. NCBI lineage: Eukaryota > Metazoa > Chordata > Mammalia > Primates > Hominidae > Homo > Homo sapiens. The sequence goes on from NW_025791771.1 coordinate 423,928, forward strand.
GCTACTCGGAAGGCTGAGGCAGGAGAATCACTTGAACTCAGGAGGCGGAGGTACAGTGACCTGAGATTGCATCACTGCACCCCAGCCTCAGTGACACAGACACAGCGAGACTCTGTCTCAAAAGAAAAAAAGAAAAGATAGTTTGTTACTCACAGATCCAAGAGAAGGGGACACACCAAGTCATGCAGGAACACACGCAGAAGCACCAGCTTGGTCAGGAACCTGAGGGAGAAAGGAAAACTATGGCAAAGGCATTTAGTGTGGTTTCTACAAAAAGGAACAGGGTAAGCAGGTTCAGGATTAGCTAGTTTAAATAATTTTGGTGGGCTCTGAGGTGTAGGGGCTGGCCCCAGTAGTCTGGTACTTGGCCCCTGGGTGACTAGGGCAGGAAAATAGGGGCCTGTAATTGCTGGATAAAGGGGGTGGTTGGGAATGTGGGCACTGGATTGACTGGCTTGCATATGAAAGACACCCTCACAGGTCAGTTATTTGCTATCTCTAGGAATCTGCTATCAAAGGGGCAGTCCCTCCAAGGTCAGCAAGGCCCCAAGATGCCAAAAACAAGACCCCAATATGTCAAAACATCAGAGTACAGAAAATAAAAGACATGGTCAATAGCATTTGTAGGTTTTCCAGCCAACAGCCCAAAGCATCAGCCAACAGCCGGCATCAACTGTGACATGCGAGAAAGTAAGCCTCCAGATCAGTCCAGCTCCCACTATCAAGCAGCCCAGGTGACCCCACAGAAAGCAAAGATGAGCTAGGCCCACCAAGCCCTGCCTAAACTGCAGATTCATAAGCATATAAGTATTTTTTGATTCTGTAAAAGTCACTAAAATTGGGGGTAATTTTTTACATAAGTATAGTAACTTGAAAAATCGGAATGAACTAAGGCAAACAGACTGTCTCCCAGATTTAAACTGGGACTTATGAAAATTAGTGAGTTGTTAACAAGAGGACAAATGGTTAGACCCAAACTGAAGCAGTGATGAAAGATGCAGCTGAGTCACATTCATGACAAATGACTTGTCTGGAGTAACAGGAGTTTAGTCTGGAGTGGCCTTGCTCCTGAAAGACCCAGTTTCCTGAGGTCATCCCTGAGGCCTGCCAGGTGATATAATAGCTTTCTTTATGGTTTGAGCTGAGTTCCTGTGAGGCCTTGGATGGGCAGAGACTCTCACTCCAGGACCCTCATGCTGATCTTTCCCTGACATGGTCTCCATTTCCTGCACCCAAGGGAGCCTCTCGCCTTTGGAAACACGGTACCCAGCCACAGCTTGGTGTGCAGTAAACAGGCAGGATGGGTGACAACCACCCTCCTTCTTTTCTCTTACCAAGGGCCATCAGGGAGTCAGAAAGACACTAAATATTAACAAGCTGTGTGAACTCTCAACGTCTAGTCAATTCCATGTGGCTAGTATCCGTTTCCCCAAAATATTTTTTGCTTTTGATATTTTAAAAATAATTTTTAGTAGAACGTCCAGAAATTTTACTTCTTTGGTCCCATCCCTAAACTCAGACCAGGACAGGGAACCCCTTCTGGTTTGCACCCATTCCAGAGCCTTCTGGCAACAAACCATCATCTGTGTGTTCTTGCCTAGAAAGGAAGGTCCAGAGAGAGGAGGCCACTTGCCTGTTGCCTCTTTCAGCTGAGATAGGGCCTCCTTCTCCACCCATCCCAGCCAGGCACTCAGGTGTGGATCACAAGGAGTGCCTCCCATGGCCATGGTGGGATCAGAGCCAGATGGGGTAGATGGGGACAGTTCACTGGGGTTAAGAGCCCCATTTAGGAATGTGGGTTGGCAGTGTATGGGGGAGGGGAACAGTGTGCATCAGGGGCGCCTGAGTGTATGTTAGCAGCAACCAAGGAGGGCTGTGTGGCAGGGGAGGGGGAAGTGGGAGAGAGGGAAGGAGAGTGGAGTCAGGAGACAGACTGACTAATTTACTGAGATTTTTTTTTTTACCTCCTTGTATTCTTTTTTTTTTTTTTTTTTTTTTTTGGAGAAGGAGTCTCAGTCGCCCAGGCTGGAGTGCAGTGGTGCAATCTCGGCTCACTGTAACCTCCGCCTCCAAGGTTCAAGCAATTCTCCTGCCTCAGCCTCCGAGTAGCTGGGACTACAGGTGCACGCCAGCACACCCAGCTAATTTTTTGTATTTTAGTAGAGATGGGATTCACTGTGTTGCTCAGGCTGATCTCAAACTCCTGAGCTCAGGAAATCCGCCTGTCTCAGCCTCCTGAAGTGCTAGGATTAAAGGCATGAGCCACGGCCCCTGGCCACCTCCTTGTATTCTTCCCTCCCATACCCTGACCCCTGTTCCAGAGGAGAGAGCCCAGCTCTCTCTCTACCCAGGCCTCTGGGAAGTTAGTGTGAAAAGTAGAAATTGCCTACAAATGCTCATCTGTGATCATGTTCATGAGGGAGGCTCTGAGAACCTTCCAAGACCAAGAGGGTAGGAGGCTGGGTTCCAGGGGAGCTGAAAGAGGAGGGCAGTGCTTGTCAGGGCTGAGACCTGGAGGGCCAGAGCGGGAGGGAGGGAGGGAGAAACAGGCAGTGCCAACGTAGAGAAACCAGCCTGGGCAGAGACAGCCTTGTCACGTGTGAGCCCAAGTACAAATGAGCATGTAGCTGCACGTACCAAGGTGTGTGTCTGTGACCAGACCTGCCCGTGAAATATCTCCCTTGCCCAGCCAAGGCACCGCCCATGTGAATGGTGCCAGTGGGAGGTCTGCCATGGCAGCTGCCTGTCAAAGCTGATGCTATAAAAGATGTGAGAGGGCAACTACCTTCCCAGAAGGGGCTGCATACACACGCATATGGACCCCCTAATATATACACGGGTGCATGCAGTGATGCACATATGGGTTGGCCCTTCCTCTTCATCAGCAGGCAGCCTTGGGATGACGGGTGACATAGAATTCACACCACAGAGTGTGGCCACGTCTGGGTCTGCTCACCTCAGCTCCAATACAGCCTGTGTAGGCATAGGCCAGGGAATAAAGGGGGTACCTGTGGCTGGGCCAGAGCCCAGGGCCTGGGGAGCCTGGCTGAGAGAGGCGACAGATGACAGCAGCCAAGCAAAAGTAACCTCCATCAGCCAGGCCACATGATACCTGCTAGCTGAGATATGGGGAGTCATCCAAGGGACAATCCACACAGGGGCTAAGTGTGGGGTTCCACCTCAAGGGGCTCAATGGCTCCAGAGTCACTAAATCAACTTGAGACTCTGTGACTCTCTGCCCTTTCAGGAGCCAAAGCCACTCCTGCTAGTGGGCTGAGGGCACACAGAGATACCCTGCCCCCTCTGCTCTGGGAGCTATTCTATTGTGATAGGGTTTCAGGGCAGGGCCATGCCCTCCCCCAGCCGGGGCTGTCAGAGAGGGCCCAAGCCTGAGGCCATGTCCTCTTTTTGCACCCAAACTCTCTGGGTAAGGCAGGGCTGTAATTTTGGAGGTACAGAAGTGGTGGCAGGCGTGTCCCCCTCCAGGAAGGCTTCTTGGGTTTCTGGGTACGCTAAGAATGTTTCAGCTCATTCCCAAGGTCCTAGAGTCTATCTCAGATCAGGATGTGTCTTGTTCTCAAATTCCCCAAATATCTCCTGACCACCAGCTTTAGGCCAGATGCCCTTTTCTCTGTGTGCCCAGGACCCTGGTTGACTGCCCTTTTTTCCTTCACCAGTGGCTTGCATCCACTTTGCCTTTCATTTTCCTCCTCCAAGACTGGCTGCCAAGTGGGGCACATCGCTCCAGTTCCCCTGCTTTCTACCCTCTCCAGACAGGCACTCAGGCCTTCATATTCCTGAGGGCGTTCTTTTTTGTTTTTTTTTTTTGAGATGGAGTCTCACTCTGTTGCCAGGCTGGAGTGCAGTGGCGCGATCTCAGCTCACTACAGCCTCCGCCTCCCGGGTTCAAGTGATTCTCCTGCCTCAGCCTCCCGAGTAGCTGGGATTACAGGCCTGCGCCATCATGCCCAGCTAATTTTTGTATTTTTAGTAGAGACGGGTGTTTCACTACATTGGCCAGTCTGGTCTTGAACTCCTGATCTCAAATGATCTGCCCACCTTGGCCTCCCAAAGTCCTGGGATTACAGGTGTGAGCCACTGCGCCCAGCCTCCTGAGGGCATTTCTGCTAATACTCTGGGGAAAACTGAACAAGAGTGCAAATCATGACAGGTAAGGTAAGAGACACGACTGAGCCCACTCTGACTGTGGTGTACACTGAGGAACTGGCAGGGAGAGAGGCCTTCCACATTCAGCTGGGCTCAGGAAAAGGACCACACAACATTGTGGCCACCAGGGGGCGGGCTGCACCTGCTGGACCACTGACCCGTTTGAAAGCCTTATTCTTGGGAGTGAAGTGTCTTTAGATGGGAAGGATGCTGTCCCCAGGTCCCACCTGGGGACAAGTAGAGAACATCCCTGGGGACAAGGGTAGAGGTAGAAGATGGCTAGGAAGCCAGGTGTCAGTGGACATAGACATTTGATTGGAAGAATCCATGTGTGATGGGGGAGAGTGGGTCTTGGTAAGAAAGGATCAGGATGTTGAGGAAGCATGGGAGTTATGGGTGTTGAAGGCAGAAGGATGAGCTTCTGGGGATCCCTTAGGGATGGTGTCCTGGAACAAGCTGAGTGGGGAATACAGGGTGTCTTGAGGTGTAAGGATGTCCTCTGCCTTTCCTAACACCTTGATCATCCCGGTTATGGGGAAAAGTAGTAGCTGGAGGTCACATCCTTCCCCTAGAGATCTCTATCTCCTTGCTTCAGATGCTACTCGCAGGCCACTCCAGCCCAGGCATGTAACTGTGATTTGATTACATGAGCCAGTAGAGCCCCCACTGTTGCTTAAGCTGGTCTGAGTTTTGACTTTAACCTTCAGATCTTAACTAGTTTCTGAACTGGTGCCTGTTCCTTGCTCAAGAGGTCTCAGTGGCTCCAGATTACCCTTAGGTTAAATTCCAAACTCAACCTGGTCTTCAGGACCTCCACCTCTTCCTCCGTCATTATGTCCTACTTCTCCTCAAATACAGCCTTCTCTGTGGAGATTGTAGATGAAAAAGTCCGCTCATCCAGGAACTGAAGGCTCTGGAAATGACACTGTTAGCATCATCACCTCTGTGGGGACTCCCTGGAGAATAAATCAGTTCTACTCTGTGCCACCCTCTGATTGCTCTTCTGCCTCCTCCATTAGGCTGTGAGCCCCTTAAGGGTATTTTGTCCACTGCATGTGGCCCTAGCCTGGCACAATAAGGGCATCCGATACATACTTGGTGTGGGAGTGGTTTGGCCTGCCTAGGCTAGCACAGGGCTCTTTGGAACTGATTTCAGACTCTGGGCCTGGTTCCCAGTAGGAGAGAAGGGCTGCTGCCTGGAGGAACCTCATCTAGGTCCCAAGGTGACCCCAGGAGAGAGACCTGTGGGTGGGCTCAGGTTCATTTCCACTTTACTAATCACCACGAATCTCTGCCCAAATCCAACTTCCACTTCTTTTCCAATAGGACACTTACCACCCTCAGGCCCAGCTCCTGAAAGAAAGGGCTGGGAAGACTGAGCTAGAGACATGTGAAGCTAGACTCAGAAAGAGACAGAGACATAGAAAAATACCTGAGACAGAGAGCGAGAGACAGAGTCTGAGTAACAGACACACAAAACTTGAGACTGAGATGCCCACAAAGAGGAGAAAAAGCAGACCAAGAAACAGTGCCCGCCAGGAGAGATTCAAAGGTGGCGAGCAGGGCAGGGGCAGGCTGCGAATGATGGAGGCAGAGAGCATTGCAAAGGGCCCTCAACTTTGTCTGGGCCCACAAGCCAGAAACTTGGAGGCCATTTCCTCCTTGCTCATCCCTCACTCCTCAAGCCCAAGCAGTAGGCAAGACTTGTCCAACCTCCTTCCAAAATGTATCTGGAATCTGTCTAGCCCCCTTAATCCTCACAACTACCATCATCCTCTTTCTGTATTAATGCAATATCTTCTGTAGGTCTCCCTGCCTCTTGCACTACCTCAGCAGAAATATTCTAAACACATATCTGATTATGTCATTCCCACAGCCCCCCAAATAAAGCCCAGATGCTTTTCCTGCTTTACAAGGCTTTGCTTGATCTGAGAGCTACCCAGCACCAGTGTCCAAAATCCCAGCCATTGCAGACCTTTCCAGAGCATGTTCTGTCCCTCGCCTCTAGGCCTGGAACATGCTGCTGCTCCTTCTAGCTGAACACCCATCTGTGATGTCCACCCCCAGTTCCCCTTTCCTCAAATCACCATCTCATTTTGATCTCAATGCCCAATGTTCCTTCCTCAGGGGCAGCCTCTTTCTGGCCTCACTCCTCACGCTTGCACTCACAGAGCAGTGTCACCCCTATGTGTCACCTGAGTCCAACTCCAACCACTCCCTCTTGGAGCTCTACCAGAGACTCCAGGCTAGGGTGCCCTGGGCAATTTCTTCCATCTTCCTATCTGCTCCTGTCCTTGGTCCCTTGGGGCTGGGTTCGTCAGCCCTAGCCTCATGTCCCCCTACCCTTGGTATCCCAATCTTTACCCCCTACTCTGTGTAGCACCTTCATTCTAAGGTCATGGTCCTTTCTACATGTCTCATTTGTATGTTTTTTAAAAAAATCTAGGCTGTGCGTGGTGGGTCACACCTGTAATCCCAGCACTTTGGGAGGCAGAGGTGGGTGGATCACTTGATGTCAAGAGTTTGAGACCAGCCTGGCCAACATGGTGAAACAGCATCTCTACTAAAAATACAAAAATTAGCCAAGTGTGGTGGTGTGTGCCTGTAATCCCAGCTACTCAGGAGGCTGAGGCAGGAGAATCCCTTGAACCCAGGAGGTGGGGATTGCAGTGAGCCGAGATTGCGCCACTGCACTCCAGCCTGGGCAACAGGGGAAGATTCCATCTCAAAAAACAAACGAACAAACAAACAAACAAAAAACTCAAAACCTAATCTATTAGTTTCCTATTAAAAGAATTATATGTAAATAAAAATTAAAGAAAAATATTAAACCTGTTCTTGTACAGGTGGTACAAGGACACTGTATGATGGGAATTTGGGAAACGTAACTTCAACCAACACTTTGGTGCTCTGTCTAGGTCCCCTTGGGCCCCTTTCACTGTTTCTGGACATCCCCCACTGGGGCTTGATGTGCTCTGGCTTCCCATGGCTGGCACCTGTCCTCAGGTCAGTGGGGCTGCTTTGCTCCTATTCCCAGAGAGCCCCAGAGTGCCCAGGGGCTTAAGGCCCCCAGGGACAGCCTTTGGCTATGACTGACTGACTTGTGTGAGAGTATGATAGCTCAACTCCCTACTTGTCATTTTAGATAACTCTGAGATCCCCAGTGTCTAGAGCAGAACCTTGCATATAGAATATGCACTCAATAAATGTTTGTTGAATGAATATAGCCAAATTTATCAGTCTTATCCTGGCAATTTCTTAAGTTTTTGTCACTCTCAGGCCTTTCCCATCCAAGATCAAAAAGCACTTACCCATTTGTTCTGGTTTATGTTAATTTTTTATATTTAATTATTCAGTCTATCTTGAATGTGCTGTAAGGACTGGGATAAAGATATATTTTTTCCTCATGGATAGGTACTTGTCCCAACAATTTTTGAATCTTTCTTTCATGTGTAAAACCAAAATACTGTGTTATCTAAGACTGTTTCAGTAAGGTATTATGCAATCACTTATAATAGTAGTAACAGCAATTATGTCACCACATAAGAAAATGCTAACCTTATAATTTTAAACATGGCTTTTTTATAGCTACATAAAATTATGTCAGCATATAGGCAAGGACAGGGAGAAATGGAGGAAATTAGAGATGGACTAAGGGATGGTGATAGGGCTATAGGTGATACTTTTCTTTGATTCTATTAATATTGATAAAATAATAAATCAAAGAGCATAACTGAGGGGAACAAGGACTTAAAAGATAGCAAGTTGTTTTCTTGCTTGAGCCTGAAAGACTTGGGCGAAGGTAAGGGTTTTTTTTTTTTCAAGGTGATCTCAGGAACCTGAGGATGGTGGGGGATGCAGGTAAAGGAAAATTGTTACTGGAGGGTCCTGGGGAGTCATTGCTACAAAAGAGGCCAAACAAGAAAGACTCTATATATGAAAATGACTTCCTCCAGCCCTGTACCACTGAGCTCTGAGCTTCCCAGCCTTCATTAAGTGAAAAGAAGCTCTGGAAGTACTCCCACCTCCCAAATAAGGGATCCAGCCCTCAAGCATGTTAATCAGTGACTCCAAATGTTTCCATCACTTTGCCCTCGCTGATGGACTATTTGGGATGCTTCATCGACCAGGCAGCAGAGATGCTAATCTTTGTGGTTATGACCAAAAACTGTAGAACCATATCCCCAGGCCCTCCCCACTCAGCAATCTCTGGAAGATCCTTCTCTGACCCCTTAGAATTCAGAAGTCTTTTTCTTTTTTATTTTTCTTATTTTAGAAAATTGATTTCACCAGGTCCCAGGTCAGCCACACCCTCATAACAAATGTGAAGAGCATTAGAAGTTAGAACAAGGGAAATGCTAGCTGCCATGGGGCCCTAATGTGGTCTGTATTAGGGAGTATTGGGAGTCCGTCCCAGTATTGTGGTCTGTATTGGGAGGATTAAGAAGGGCATGCCCTGGAGCCTGGGCTATTACACTAGGGCTTGCCTTCCTGACTAAAAGGGCACTTCTTCAACTATCATGGATCTACCCCATGAGGTGATTCACTGGGGTCCCAAAGGTGCCCTTGGAAAAGCAGCTACTCACACGTGAGCACGCCCCAAGGGCAACTGGCACCTGGTCCCGCCCACACACACAGAGCCAGAATGCCAGTGGAGGTCCTGGATTTGGAGCAGAACGCCCACCTCTTGCCTACCAACTACCTTTTACAGCAGCTCCCCTGGAGTGCCTTTCCACCTGCCTCGGCCGCAGAAGCCCTGTCCCAGGACTGTCTCCCACACCTGGACCCTCATGGGGCTCCTACAGGTACAGAGACCACCGATGTCTGCGGGCTGACCACAGGCCAAAGGCTCTTCCGGAAGTGTCCTTTAATACTTTGGAGAGGCTCGCCGGTTCCCCCGGTGAGCACGGGACCTGACTGCATCAGCTCCAGGATCCAGGAGATGTGGGGAAGTGAGAAAGATCCTGTTTGGCCTCGCCTGCTGGAAGCCACAGAAGAGCTGGACATGCCCGCAAGGCCTGAAGTGCGCGCGCAACCTAGCAGGCGGAGGCAAGCAGCTCTTCGCCTCAGGCCGCCCACTGAACCCTGCCCACCGACGTCGCGCCCTGTAGGCCCTCCCAGGCCCTCCTGATTCGTGGAGAGCGCGCGCGAGCGCTCCTGCCCCACCCCCGAGCCCGCCCTCCTGCGGCACTACCCCGCCCCCCCGGCTTACGGGGCTGCAGAGTGTGGCCTGCAAGTTGGAAGCGCAGGACGCGGGCGTCCAAAGGCCCCGACGCTCCCAGGCTGAGGAGGCACTTTGTCGTCTCTCCCACGCTCTGGCCGTCGTCCTAGGCCTGACAGTGGCCAGCTGCCTTGCACAAGCACAGTCCCTGCCAGACTTGGTCTGCCACCAGCGCCTTCCGCTCTTCTGCCCTCGACGGACTCCCCCGGTCCCCTTGCTGCACAGCACCCGAAAATGCCCACTGCCCAGGCCCCTCTCAGTCACGACACCCTCACGTGCAGGAGGTTGGTCCTTCAGGACCCGCCGCCCCTCACGCGGGCTCTGGGGCCGAATGCTGACGCGAGTCCCGCCAGCATCCGAACAACCTGAGCCTCTGGCCCGGTCCGCAGACTCCCTCTCTGCACAGATCACTCCCGATCCCGCTCACTCCTGGGACCCCTCAAGCTGGGGAGCGCAGCCCTGGGCCTCTCCGAACCTTCCCCACGCTCCCCGGTCTCCATCACAGCAGCGCCGCGCCCGGGCCCCTCTGCGGGCCGTCTGGGTGTCACTACCGCTCCTGGGCAGCCCCCACTTCTGCACACCGCTTCCCTCCGCACTCACGTCCCAGGCCCCTCGGTTCCCTCGCCTGGACGCCCCTCGCCCAGCACCTTCCCGAGACACCCTCACAGCACCTCCGCCAGCACTTCCCGCGCCTCCTCGCGGTAAATATCCCTCCTCGGGCCCCCTTCCTCGCTCCTGCCTCCATGCCATGCCCCCTCGGCCCCCGGGCTCCCACACTGCACCCTTCCGAATCCTTCCAGTGCCCCCCACGGGCCCCCGCGAATCCCCCCGCTCCCCTCACCCCACCCATCTGCCTCAGACTCCTCCCCACATCTCTCACACCCCAGGCCTCTCACCTCACTCATTCTGCCAGGCCCCCCTGACACCCCTCACTTCTAACCCCCCGAGCCCCTCTGCCGTCCGCTACACCCCGAGCCCCTCACCCCACTCAACTGCCCCGGGCCCCCGCGCGCGCGGCCGCCCCCTCCCGCCCTCCACTCACCCTGTGTCGGCCCCGCTCCCCTCTCCCCCACCAGGCGAGCAGGCGAGCGGGCAGAGCCCGCGGCGGAGGCCGGTCCCCGGGCCGGGACACACCCACCCGCCCGCCCTTCTTCTTTCCCTCCCTTCCTTTCTCCTTCCCTCCCTCTCTCCCGCCCTCCCGCCCTCCCGCCCTCGCTCGCTCCTTCCCCCTCGCCCGCCCGCTCCCGCTTCCAGCGGCGCCGGGCCTCCCGCTCCGCCTCCCCGTGCGCGGCTCTCCCGGGCGCGGCTCCGGGGTTCATGGTGACGAGGCGGCGGCCGCTCGAGCCCAGCGGCGGCGGCGGCGGGAGCTGGGGCGCGGGCCCGGGCCGCCTCTCCCAGAGCGCGGGGCCGGGCGGCGGGCGCGCCCAGGCAGCGGCTGCGAGCGCCCCCCCGCGCCGCGCCCCCGCGCCCCCCGCGCCGCGCCCCCGCGCGCTTGGCTTGCGGGGGGCCGGGCCTGCGGGCGGCCGCCGCGCCGCGCACCCATGGACGGCCCGGCCATCATCACCCAGGTGACCAACCCCAAGGAGGACGAGGGCCGGTTGCCGGGCGCGGGCGAGAAAGGTGAGGAGGGGCGCAGGCGGCCGCGGGCTGGGGGCGAGCGCACACCCCGCGCCGCTGGAGTTCACTGCCGGGCGCCGGCATGGGCCTGGGGGAGGGGTGCACAGGGCCCGGAGGGTGCGTGGGTGTGGGGTGCGCCCGGAGGAGAGCGAGGCTGCCAGAGTGCGTGTGCCGACTGAGCCAGTGTGAGTGTGCAGGGGCTGGCGGAGAGACTGGGAGCGAGTGTGTGTGCATCTAACCGGGAGGTTGTGAGTTTGTGTGCGCGCACGCCCGCAGAGAAGTTGTGAGCCTGTGTGTGCACCTAACACAGAGGTTCTAAGTGTGTGCACTTGTATGTGTGTGTGCACACGCGGACAGAGTGATTGTAAGGATATGTGTGCACCTCACAGAGAGGTTGTGAGATTGTAAGGGTTTGCGCACCTAACGGAGATGTTGTGAGTGCTTTTTTTCCTGACAGGCTGTGAGTTTGTGTTGTGTGTATTAGAGGTTTGTATGGGCCTGACTGAGGGGTTGTGGAATGTGTGTGCGTGAGCATGAGCCTGGAGAGGTTCTATGCCTGTTCACTCCTGACAGAGTTTGTGAGTGTGTATGATTGTGTGACTACACCACCCAACTGGCGGATTGAATGTGTTGTATACATCTACTGGGAGGGCGTGTGTGTGTGTAAATTGTATACAATGAGGCTGTGTGCATCAGTGCACCTAACCACGAACCTGTGTGTACAGATGTGTGTGCCTTCCTGTGTATCAGACAATGAGGCCATGTGTCTGGGTGTGTTTAGTTGGTTGTGCAAGTGCTGGAGTCTGGGGGGGAGAAGAGGCAGTTCGGAGCCATCCCCGCTTTCTCCCTTCTCCACTCTTTGCTGTCTCCGGGCCACCAGCATGTTGGGAGGACTTACAAGGCCTGGCCCTTCCAGGGCCCTTTTAGGACCCAGCTTTAAAGGGCACTTGTGGATCCCTTATAGTGCCAGGAGTGTCCCCTCCCAGAGAGCTGGCCAAGGGCTCAGCCAGCACTGTGCTTCTGTGCCTGATTTGATTTTGGCACATTTTGACCCCAGCCCCCCATTCTGTTTCCTTTTTGTCCTTTCTCTTGGTGTCTGTGTTCCCACTTAGAGACTTGGCGTGTCCCCCTCTCTTGCATGCCTGGAACTTTCTGTGCCTCTAGTGTGTTGGGACTTGGACAGACTGTTTTGAAGGGTCAAGGAATCTGGCTTCTTTTGTTCTGGTGACTAAAGCTTGCCTCATTCTCTTCCTGTCCTGCGCCTCGTGAACACCTGGACTGAGGTCAGGTGCAGCCCACCAGGACCCCTGACCCCTCTCCAGGCCGGAGCTGGCCACAGCCGGCTTTGGGGATGAGTCAGATTTCTTTCTAGGGGCTCCCACCTTTGCTGTGCCAGTGGGTGAGGTGTGCAGCCCCTGCTAGAAATCTGCGTGGGAGTGAGGGGAATATTCTGCCTCTCCTCAGGCAGAGGCCACTGGGCAAGCCCGTCAGAAAAACGGAAGGAACCAGCAGGTACCCTCAGGTTGGGCATTTGTCAACCTGTTTGCAGTTTCGTAGACCACAAACATTGTATGTGTCTGCAGACTGGATTTCTTTTATGTAAAATAAAGAATTCAAACTCTCTCAGGCATTTTTCTGTGCCTTTCAGATGGTCTAAAAAATTCTGCAAGAGAGTGCTCCAGGTAAATCCCCGTATTTCTCTGGGACCCAAGTGGGCAGCTGCTTGGTGATCTGGACTTCCTGCCATAGGGGCTGTTAGTTCTTGGAGCCCTGGCTGGGTGTGTGCCCTCAGGGAGCGTTTGGTTGGAGGCATCAAGGAGGTTTGCTTCCTGTGCTCCTTACCAGCTGTGGATTGAGTGCTTTGTGTGATGCTTTGCCAGAGAGAATCCACAGCTCTTTGAGGAGAGGTGTGGCACAAAGCAGGGAAATATTTGTCAGAGCCTCAGACCTCCTGCTGCCCCCCACCTGACTCCAGGAGCAGGAGCAGGAGCTCTGCCAACTTTCCCTTTTCCTCTAGGTGCTAGGATTTTTAAAACAAAGAATCAATCTATCCAAAATCCAAACCATGTACAAATACTCCAGGATAGTGCTTGTTCTATTCAACTTGTTTACATTACTTTTCATGACAATCTTTTATTATCTTTAGCAGCCTATTTTGTTTGCCAGTGTCAGATTGGTTGTTTGTTAACCGATTAGAGGAATTCTTTACCTGCAGCCCTGGGGTGGGGTGGTTGGCTAGTAGGTCCTTCTTGCTGAAGCATTGAAATCCTACTCAATTTAGTTCTTCACTTTAAAAAATGGAAATAATTTTGGTTACCTATAATGTCGCAATAAACTCTAGAGTCAAATGTTGGAATAATTTCTTCAGATTTATAAACCAGTAAACCGGTTCAGCAATGTTTCTAGCTTAAGCATGTTGATATCTTCAGATGGGCACATAAAATTATGTAAAATACATTTTTACATAATTTTACATTATGTAAAAATGTATTTTACATAATTTTATTTTGAGATAATTATTTTGTTTTAAAAATATTGGGCCTGGAATATTTTAAATATTTAAGTTTTATAATAGGGAAGAAACTATTGCTTTTACATGTTTACTTTCATCATTTATTCTGTAAAATAGGAATAGTAATGACTACCTCTGGGGTGTGACCTGAGGGTTCAAAGAGATGATGTACATTAAAGACTCTGCCTGGTTCACCACTGTGTCATGATTCCATAAATCTTTCTTTAGATACAGATTTACAAAGGAAGTACTAAGCATGGGCTGTGGTGTTTTGCACCAAGTTGAATTACTTCTTGACACATTGCCACGTGGTGGTGCACAACTCAGAGATGACTGTCACTGTCAGCCTGGCCTGTCACAGAATGCTCATATCTTACAGTTGTGTTTGATTTGGTTGATAATGTCAAGATAAAGAGACAAATTTCCCTGTAAGTTTAACTCAGCCTACTTTGCAATCTGGAAATTTCCTCTTACACATTAATAGGAAAATGTCCAACAGTACAGTAGAAAAGTGGACAAGAGTTAGGAACAAGAAAGTCGTAGAGGAAGAAATCTGAATGGCCAATAAATATATGAAATTGTGCTCTACTTCATGTGAAACCTTTTCATGCATCAGCTTGGTTAAACATTTAAATGACTGCCAATGTTCAAAGTAGACAAAGGTTTGGAAAATGACTTAATAGACTTTTGTGAGAGAATAAAGTGAGTACAGAGTTTTTAGAGAGTAATTTAATACTGAATCAATTAGGAACACATTTGGCTGCAAGTAACAGAAAACCAGATTTACTGCAGCTTAAACCAATAGGAGTTTATTCTTCCCACATAATAAGCTGTCTGAGGTAGGCTGCTGATAGCTTTTTCAGCAACTCATTGATACCAGGGCCAACATCATAGTGATTCTCCTGGTTTTCCCTCATGTTATAGCATGGCTGCCACCCTTCCAAACACCACAGCCACCTTTAGGGCTGGAAAAAGAGTGCCAGTCTTGTGTATTCCTTTTACCTGGAAAGCAGAAACGCAAAAACATTCCTAGGGACCACCCAGAAAACTTTGCTGATGTTTAATTGGCCAGAACCAGGCCACATGGCTACCCCTTGCTGCAAACAGAGTGAGGAAAGTGAGTTTCCAGCTTTTAAACCAGCCTTTGCTGTGGGAGGCAGGAGGGGAGAAGATTGAAAATAGGTGGGAACAGGTATTGGTTCAGCCAAACAGCAGTATTGACCACACATTGAAAGCTCCTGTTCTACTTCTGAGTTTCTGTTCTAGAGAAATAACCTCATTTGTGCTCAAAGAAACATGTACAAGGATTTTCACTTAATGGCTACATTGCTTGCAATAGCAAGTATTAGAACCATCCTAAGTGTCAGTAGGTGAATGGTTAGGCTATGATACATCATTAGCAGAATACTGTGAGGCAGTTGAAAAGAATGAGCTAAATTAAATCTAAACATACAGATAGGTGAATTTTCAAGACATTTTAAAGCAGGAAAAATTTTGAAGAACAGTATAAACAGTATGGTTCCTACCTTTGTAAAAAAAAAATCACACATACACACAACTGTATATTTGTTTAGAAATACAGAAAAAGTAATATGGAAGGAAATAAGCTGACAACAAATATTCCTCTGGGAGAAGACTGGACAACAAAGATTCCTCTAGGGAGAGGAAACTTTGCCTTTTGTTTAAATATTAATGAAATATACTCATTTTACAGATGAAATTTTTTAACTAAAAAAAGAAATTTCCCATAGCTCTTTGAAGGGAAAGAAATAATTTGAGGGAATTGAACAATAATAAAACCAAAAAAATCTCAATTAGTATGCAGTATTAGCAAGAACATATCAATGACATCTAAACAGTTAATTATTTTGTAAGCTAATATGTGTCCTTGATGAGATTTCTGCAGGAAAATTTGTTTGGGCAGATATTTTTGCCTAAGGTGCTAGGTGTGTTTCCTTTAAATGTTTGTAATACTCAGTGTTAATTCAGAAACTTTAAGCTTTGGGCTGCTAACAAAATTATAGCAAAGAGAAGACTTTTGGAAGCAATAATTATTTCAGATGACAGAAGCAGATTTATAGTAGATTCAGACTAACTTTTTTATATTAAACTTTTTATTTGGAGATAACTGTAAATTTACATGCAGTTTTAAGAAGTCACAGAGACTTTCTATGCCCTCTACCCGGTTTCTCTTATTACTGACATCTTGTAAAACTGTATAGTATCACATCAGGATGTTGACATTGATATAGTCAAGGTATAGAAAAATTTCATCATCAGGAGGATCCCTCCTGTTGCCCTTCAGAGTCACACTGCTTCCCTCCCATGCCCACCCTGCTCCATATCCCACTGGTGACCACTAATCCACTCTACATTTCTAAAATTTTATCTTTTTAGGAACATTATCTAAATGGAATCAAACAGTATGTGATCTTTTGGAATTGCTTTTTTTCACTCAACATAATTATCTGGAGATTCATCCAGGTTGTTCCTTGTATTAATCTTTTTTTTTAAATTGCTCAATTGTATTCCATGACATGGATATACCACAGTTTGTTTAACCATTCACGCTTTGAATGATCTGTACATTGTTTCTAGATGTTGAGTATTATGAATAAAGCTGCAATAAACATTGGTATACATGTTTTTGTTTGAACCTAAGTCTTCATATCTCTGGGATAAATGCCCAGTGTGCAATTGCTGGATCATATGGTAGTTGCATGTTTACTTTTTAAAGAAACTGCCAAACTGTTTTCTTGAGTAAATGTAGCATTTTACATACCCACCAGCAATGTATAAGTGATCCAGTTTCTCTGCATCCTCACCAGCATTTGGTGTTGTCACTGTTTTTAAAAATTTTTATTTTGAAATAATTATAGACTCGAAAGAAGTTGCAAAAATAATACAGAGAGGTCCCATGTACCCATCACCTAGTGTCCCCTAACGCTAACGTCTTATATAATTGTATATTTCATTATCAAAACCAGGAAATTGACATTGGCAAATACAGTTGTTTAGACTACAGACCTTACTCACATTTCACCAGTTTTTGCATGAATTCATTTTTTGTAGCTTTATGCATCTTTAACACATTTATGTTTGTATAGCCACCATCACAAGCTACAGAACTCGTTTGTCACCACAAAGGAACTCCTTTGAGTTACCTTTTTCATTTCTTTTTTAAAAACTGATATATAATATTTGTACATTTTTCTGAGGTACATATGATATTTTATATGCATAGAATAGTGTAATGATCAAGTCAGGGTATTTAGGGTATCCATCACCTTGAGTAATTATCACTTCACTATTTTTCATATTAGCCATTCTGATATGTGGTGGTAGCTTATTACGGTTTTAATTTGCATTTCCCTGATGGCTAATGATGTTGAACATCTTTTCATGTGCTTATTTTTCTTCTATATATCTTCTTTGATGAGCTGTCCCTTCATGTCTTTTGCCCATGTTCTAATTGGATTTTTTTAAACCGTCAAGTTTTGAGAATTTTTATATATTATAGATATTAGTCCTTTTTCAGATATGTGGTTTGCAAGTATTTCTTCTAGCCTATAGCTTGGCTTTTCATCCTCTAAAGAGCCTTTTTCAGAGCAAAAGTTTTAAATTTTGATAAGGTGCAATATATAAATATTTCCTTTTATTGATTGTGCTTTTGGTGTCAAATCTAAGAACTCTCTGCCTAGCACTAGATCCCGAAGGTTTTCTCCTACGCTTTTTCCAAGTTTTATAATTTTACATTAAATTTAAGTTCATGATCCATTCTGAGTCCATTTTTTAATAAGGCGTGAAACTTTGGTTTGGTTTTTTGTCTCTGAGTGTCTGGTTGCTTCAGCTACATTTGTTGAAAAAGTTATCTGTCCTTCCTCCTTTGAATTTCTTTTGCATCTTTGTCAAAAATTAGTTGGGCATATTTATGTGGGTCTGTTTCTGGGTTTATTTATTTTGTCCCACTGATCTATATGTCCATCCCCCTGCCTATACTATATAATCTTGATTTCTGTAGCTAAATAATAAGTCATGATATAGAGTAGACTGATGCTTCCAACTTTTGTTCTTTTTCAAAATTGTTTTAGCTGTTCTAGTTTTGTTGCCACATTATGTAAATTTTACAATACTCTTGTCTATATCTACAAATATCTTCCTGAGATTTTGATAGGAATTTAATTAAACCTGTGTATCAATTTGAGGAGAACTGACATCTTTTCTAGATTAAGTCTTCCAATCCATGAACACAGTACGTCTCTCTATTTATTTAGATCTTTGATTCTGCCATTAGGCTTTCAGCATACAAGTCCTATTAATATTTTATTAGATTTACATCTGAGTGTTCTTTTTAAACTATACATATTTTAATTGATACATCATAGTTTTACATATTTATAGGGTATATAATCATATAAACACATTGCGTAGTGATCAGATCAAGGTAATTAGCATATCCATCATCTCAAACATTTATCATTTCTTTGTGTTGGGCGCATTTATTATCCTCCTTTTAGTTATTTAAAACTATATAGTATTGTTGCCCATAGTTATCCTACAATGCTGTAGAGTGTTTATTTTTTAAGCGACTATCAATTGTATTTATTTTTTATTTTGGTGCCCACGTGTTCAGTGCTAACATGCAGACATACAAAAGATTTTTGAATACTTATCTTGTATCCTATGACCTTGCTGAGCTCACTTATTAGTTGTAAGAGGCTTTTTATAGATTCCCTGAAGTCCTTCACATAGACAAACGTGTCATCAAATAAGAACACTTACATGTCTTCATTTCTGACTTGTATGCCTTTTATTTCTTTTTCTTGCTTTATTGCACTGACTAGAACTTTAGCAGTATGTCGAACAAGAGTAGTGAGAATGGACATCCTTGTCTTGGTCCCAGTCTTAGGGGGAAACCATTCAGTATTTTATCATTAGTATAATGTCAGCTGTAGGTTTTTTAATAGAAGTCTTTAACAGGTTGAGGAAGTAACCTTCTAATTCAATTTTTCTGAGAGTTTTTAATCAAGAATGAATGTTAACTTTTGTCTTATGCTTTTTCTGCAACAATTAGTCTAATCATGTGATTTTTCTCCTTTAGTCTGTTAATGCGATAGATTAAACTGATTTTTGAATATTGAACCAGACTTGCGTCCATGGAATGAACCTTACTTGGTTGTGGTGTATAATTCTTTCTATATATTGATGAATTCTATTTGCTAATATTTTGTTAAGGATTTTTTTGTCTGTAAGTGATGTTGGTCTGCAGTTTTCTTTTTTTGTGTTGTCTTTATCTGGTTTGGTATCAGTGTTACCTCTCTTTTGTATTCTGGAAGAGATTGTGTAGAATTGGTGTGAATTTTCCAGTGAAATCATCTGGGCCTGGACGTTTTTTCGGAGGGATGGGGGTTGGGGGGAATTTTTAAACTACAGATTGAATTTTCTTAATAGTTATAGAGCTATTTAAATTATCTCTTTCAGATTGGGCAACTTGGGTAGTTTTTTGTTTTTCTGAGATTTGAGTCATTTCATCTAAGTTGTCAAATTTGTGTGTATAGAGCTATTCATAGCATTTTTCCCTTATTACCTTTTTGATGCCTGCAGAATCTGTAGTGTTATGCCCTGTTTCATTCCTGATGTTGACAATGTGTGTCCTCCATCTTATTTTTTGTGTGTCAATCTTGCTTGAGGTTTCTCAATTTTCTTATTCTTTACAAATAACCAGTTCTTTGTTGCATTGATTTTTAAAATTGCTTCTGTTTTCAACTTTGTTGATTTCTGTTCTTATCTTTATTTCCTTACTTCCGCTTTATTTGGGTTTATTTTGCTCTTCTTTTTCTAGGTTCTTGAAGGGGCACTTAGATGAATGATTTGAGGCTTTCTCCCTTTCCTAATTTATGCATTTAGTGCTACAAGTTTCTCTCTCAACACTACCTTAGCTGTGTCCCACGAATTTTGATATTTTGCAATTTTGGTTTTCATTCAGTTCAATACTTTTTAAAAATATACTTTATTTTTAAAAGCAGTTTTAGGTTCTCAGCCATATTGAGCAGAAAGCACAGAGAATTTCCATATATTCCCTGACTGCACAGATGCATAGCTCCCCATACTATCAACATCCCACACCAGAGTGGCCCATTTATTACAATTGATAAACCTGTGTTGACATGTCATTATCACCCAAGGTCCAAGAACATAAGGGTTCACTCCTGGGGTTTTATATTCTATGAGTTTGTACAAATGTATAATTACATATACCTACCATTATAGTATTATACAGAATAATTTCATTGCCCTAAACATCCTCTGTGCTCCACTTATTCATCTCTCTCTCCCCTGCCCAATCCCTGGCAACCACTGATCTTTTTACTGTCACCATAGATTTGCCTTTTCTAGAACGTCATATACTTGGAATCATATAGTATGTAGCCATTTCAGATTTGCTTCCTTCACTTAGTAATATGCATTTTCATTTCCTCCATGTCTTTTCATGGCTTGTTAACTTATTTCTTTTTAATACTGATTAATATTTCATAGTCTGTATGTACCACAGTTTATCCATTCACCTACTGAAGGGCATGTTGGTTGCTTCCAAGTTTTAGCCCTTATGAATAAAGCTACTATAAACATATGTGTGCAGGTCTTTGTGTAGATTTAAGTTTTCAGCTCTTTAGGGTAAATACCAAGGAACATGATTGCTGGTTTGTATGGTAAGAGTATTTTGTTGTTTTGTAAGAAACTGCCAAACTGTGTTCCAAAGTGGCCCTACCATCTTTAGCTTTCAGAAGTTTAGTTATGATATGTCTTGGCATGGATTTCTTTTAGCTTATTCTGTTTGCAGTTCATTCTGCTTCTTGGTTTATGTCTTTGCTAAACTGGGGGAGTTTTCAGGCATTATTTTCTTGAGTACTTTTTCAGCTCTGCTCTTTCTCTTCTCCTTCTGAGACTATGATGACATAAATGTTAGATCTTTTGTTATAGTCCCACAGATTTATCCATACTGAGCTTTTTTGGTTTTCAGTCTTTTCTCCCCTATGTTGTTCAGTTGGGTAATTTCTGTTGTTCTGTCTTCAAATTTGTTGGGTTTTTTTCCTTATTTCTTCTAGTCTGTTATTGAGCACATCCACTGAGATTTTTATCTCAATTATTATATTTTTTAGTTCTAAATTTTCCATTTGGTTTTTCTTTATATCTTCCTCTTCTCTGCTGAGACTATTTCTTTGCTGAGGCTCTGTCTCACCCAGGCTAGAGCGGAGTGCAGTGGTGTGATCATGGCTCACTGCAGCCTCAACCTCATGGACTCAAGTGATCCTCCCATCTCAGCCTCCTGAGTAGCTGCGACTACAGGCACATGTTTTGTTTTGCCTGGCTTAATGTTTTGTATTTTTTGTAGAGTCGGGGGTCAGCCTATGTTACCCAGGCTTTAAACATGCTCCTAATTGTTTGTTGAAGCATTTTTTTAAAAATCATGGCTGCTTTAAAATCTTTATCAGATAAGTGTAGAATCTCTGTCATCCTGGTGTTGGGTTGGCATTTATTGTTTTTTTTCATTCAGTTCGGGAAGTCCTTGTTCTTCGTATAATAAGCAAATTACAATTGAAACCTGGACATTTTTGTATTATGTTATGAGACTCTGGGTCTTATTTAAGCCTTCTGTTTTGGTTGGTTTTCTCTGACATGCCCCCATCAGGAAAGAAGCACTGCCTTGTTAATGTCAGGTGGAGTGGATGTCAAGTCTTCCTACTTAGGCTCTTTTTTTTTTTTTTTTTTTTAAATTCTTTTATCTTTTTTTTTTTTTTTTTTTTTTGAGACTGAGTCACTCTGTTGCCCAGGCTGGAGTGAAGTGGTGCAATCTCAGCTAACTGCAACCTCCACCTCCCAGATTCAAGTGATTCTCCTGCCTAAGCCTCCTGAGTAGCTGGGACTACAAGTGCCTGCCAGCATGCCCAGCTAATTTTTGTATTTTTAGTAGAGGTGGGGTTTCACCACGTTGGCCAGGATGGTCTCGATCTCTTGACCTCCTGATCTGCCCGCCCTGGCCTCCCAAAGTGCTGGGATTATAGGCATGAGCCACCGTGCCCAGCCCCCACTTTGCCTCTTTTGACCTGCTGCTGGGCAGGAAGAGAGTTCGGCTTCTGTGTGGTCTCTACTGTACTGCAATGGGAGTGTTCATTACCACTGGCTGTGAGTGAAAGCCCTGACTTCCTGTGCCTCCTCTGACACCACCTCAATGGGAAGGGGAGCACCTCATTACTGCTGGATAGGAGTAGAAGTCCAAGGTGGCCATGTGGTCTCCACTGACCACTGGGAGAAGAGGGAGCTCATTACCAGCTTTCAGGGATGAGCTTCATATTTGGCCACCTTTAACACCACTCCAGCATGGGTGGTAGGATGCCTCATTACACCCTATGAGGGTGGAATTCTAGGTAGCCATTAGGTTTTCTCTGGCATGAGTAGGTGTGTGGCGGAAGGGATGGGGGTGATATTAGGCTATAGTAGAGCAGTTTTGTCTGAAAGATTTCTGTCTTGCTAGACTGCCCCTTTTCTGGTCCTTTGGTTACAGAGAGTAGGCTTTTATTGGGTCTCTTCGTCTGCAACTGTCGGTTTTCTCCCATAGCCAGCTTCTTTACCTCCAAGTCTAGGGTCTGTCTACCAGGCAAAAAGAAAACCCAGGGAAATCACCACCCTATTGTTCTTTAGGATTCAAGGTCCCTAGCTGATCTGCTTTCTTCTTTCCATCTTTCACAGTCTTTTGATGTTTATTTTATATATAATGTCCAGGATTTTCAGTTGTACTTAGTGGCAAACAGGAAGACGTATGTCTACTCCATCTTCTTGGAGGCAGAAGTCCCCTGATTTTTAGACCTACCCAAATTAAGTATTTTAAGGAAGACTAGAATTAGAAAGTTGTCATTTTAAAGGTTTATTTCAATATTATGCTAATGACTGATGTAAAAGTCAAATTCAGTTAGTGCTTTGAAAATCTTAATTGTCCATTGAAAAGAGAAAAGATAATTCACTGTGAAATCAAGTCTAGATCAGTAGGGCATCAGTGACAACTGTGATTTAAGCAACCTTAATGAGATGCATTCATAAACTTTGGTCTTAATATCAAAATTTTAGCTTCAAGTTCATGAGTGTCCTAACTTAAATGTATTTTAAATCTAATATTCTGTTTGATTAGCAAGCATGTTTAACCTGATAGCTTTCACTTTGTTTCTCAGTTAAGGAAGCATCCATTTAAGTAAACAGAAATGTCTTCTTGGGGCAAACACAAAGGACCTTATATCTGGATTTAGCACTCATGGTGCGTAGACAGGGCTTGCTGGCCAGTGACTAGAAGAGTTTGCTTCCAGTCTGGGCTACCCTGAAAGTAGGTCTTTGGGCTCTAGAAACTTGCCCCAAGCTGTACTTAACTGTAGCATCCCAGGTTGGGGAAGAACCCCGTTTGGCATGGCAGCACTGGGTGTTCAGAAGGGACCACACCACTTCAAGTTTAATTCTGAAGTAAATGGCTTTTTCCCTTTTGGTGATGTTGAGGGTGTGGATTGAGGGGGTACATAAAAGTGCCAGTGGGTTCACCAGGCTGTTCAGCTAGGAGTTGGCCATGGTCAGGAAATGCTCTGGCCATAAATGAGTCTAGATTTAAATACAGACACAAGGCCGGGCGCGGTGGCTCAATGCCTGTAATCCCAGCCCTTTGGGAGGCCAAGGCAGGCAGATCACGAGGTCAAGAGATTGAGACCATCCTGGCCAACATGGTGAAACCCCGTCTCTACTAAAAATACAAAAATGAGCTGGGCGTGGTGGCACGCACTGGTAGTCCCAGCTGCTCGGGAGGCTGAGGCAGGAGAATTGCTTGAATCCGGAAGGCGGAGGTTGCAGTGAGCTGAGACTGCGCCACTGCACTCTAGCCTGGCGACAGAGCGAGACTCTGTCTCAAAAAATAATAATAATAATAATAATAAATAAATACAGACAGACACACGCACACACACAAGTTTCTTCATTTGCTTTGATGGTAACCTATGGTGCCAAGGGAAGCAGCATCTAGCTATTGAAAAAGGGAGTGAAGGGATTCTCTTGGGTAATGTTGAAAGAATTATATGTCTTAGAACTTACTTTGCAGATTTGAAATCTTGACTTACCAGACATTTAAAGTTCAGTATTTTAATGACCTATCTTTCTCTTAAAAATCCACTACCTTTAAATAATTCTTCCCTTTAATTTCTTAACATATATTTTCCTATATTTAAAAAATGGGGATGCATATTCAGTGCTTTATTTGAAATAAAACTAAGCAAATACTTGTCTTTATGGCTCTGAAATAATATCAAATAATGGAGCAAAGTCTCAGGAACTGTTTGTAGCACTGGGTTGGGATGTGGACATTTTTGTATTTGAGATCAGGTCTGGAAACACTGGTGGTATAGTCCTCTGAAACCAGGACCTAATAAGCAGTGGCCTTTCTGGATGCTAGAGATTATGTAATCACCTAAGTAATAGCTCATTTTGATTCTGAGTAACTGCTTCTAGTTAAAAACTGAAAAGCTTTCTTTGTAATTATAATTTATATTAAGGCTATTTGCCAAAATGTTTTAAAATCCTGGTATTTAAAGCACTTTAAAAATTGAAGAGAAGCAGCTTAATATTTGATGACTGATGCTGTTCTTACCTTTCAAAATCAGTATTTAAGCTTTCAGTGTTTCAGGCTGTCTTGAACAGACTGCACTGCCTTGTCAACATGGCTTGAATAAATGTAGCCTTTTAGTACCAATAAGAATTCATACTGTACTTTAAACTGTATGTAATCTTTCTCTCTGTATTCTGATCAAGATTTAGCTCTTATGCTTAGCCTATCACACATTTGTTCTAAGTATCTGGCTCCCTTATGTACAAGTCAGAAACCATTGACTTTAATTCCAAAGACTTCAGTTAGAGTCATATTTTATTTTCTCTTTTTGAGGATATAGCTGAACATATTCATTTTTGTTTTAGTTAGAATTATACATTTCATAGCAATCGTGAAATAAGTATAAAATTTGAGTTGCTATTAATTCTAATGTATGAGCACTTATTGGTAAGCGTTAGTTTTTATACTCTGTAGTAGACCTTGTATCACTACATAGGCCTGTCTTCTGTCCTTGAATTTTTTTAAGTTTAATTTTTTATTGACTGGGTGTGGTGGCTCACACCTGTAATCCCAGCACTTTAGGAGGCTGAGGTGGGAGGATCACTGGGGCCCAGGAGTTAGAGACCAGCCTGGAAAACATAGTGGGACCCCATCTGTACAAAAAATAAAAATAAATTAACAGGGCGTGGTGGTGCACACCTGTGGTCTCACCACTTTAGGAGGATGAGGCGGAGGATTGCTTGAGCCTGGGAGGTGGAGGCTGTAGTGAGCCATCATTGCACAACTGCACTCCAGCCTGAGTGACAGAGCAAGACCGTGTCTCATTAAAAAAAAAATTAAGGTAAATTTGCATACTGTAAAAATTACTCTTTTTCATGTAACCCAGGTTAAAAAGTTTCAAGAGTTTTGGCAAACTCATACAGCTGTATAACCACTACCACAATCAAGATAGAGAGTATTTCCATCACCCCCAAAATATTATCTGTGGTGGTACCATTTTGACTCCCACCAGCAATGTATGATACTTCTAGTTGATGTGCATCCTTGTCAGCACTTGATATTGTCAGTTTTTAAATTTTAGCCATTATAGTGGGTATTTAGTGGTATCTCATCATAGTTTCATTTTGTGTTTCCTAAATCTCTGATGATGCTGAACTTCTTTTTATGTGTTTATTTGCTGTCCAAATAACTTCCTTGGTGAAGTGTTCAAACTGCTGCCATTTTTTAAAAACTGAATTGTTTGAGTGCTTATTATTGTGGGTTTTTAATGTAATTCTGTTTACAAGTACTTTGTTGAATATGTGTTTTGCAAATGTTTTTCCCAGTCTATGGTTTATATTTTTATCGTCTTAGTAATGTCTTTTTTTTTTCAGAAATTCTTATTATGATAAAATACATATAACATTAAATTTAGCAGTGGCTCACACCTGTAATCCCAGCACTTTGGGAGGCTGAGGCGGGTGGATCACGAGGTCAGGAGTTCAAGACCAGCCTGACTAACATGGTGAAACCCCGTCTCTACTAAAAATACAAAAATTAGCCAGGTGTGGTGGTGCACGCCTGTAATCCCAGCTACTCAGGAGGTTGAGGAAGGAGAATCGCTTGAACCCAGGAGGCAAAGGTTGCAGTGAACCGAGATTGCGCCTCTGCACTCCATCCTGGGTGACACAGTGAGACTCTGTCTCAAAAAAAAAAAAAAAAAATTGATCGTCTTAACTACTTTTAAGTATACAATTCATTAGTATTAAGTACATTCATATTGCTGTGCAGCTATCACCACCATCCATCTCCAGAACTCTTTTCATATTGCAAAAACGAAACTATTCATTAAACAATAACTCCCCATTCCCTCCTTGCCCTGACAACCACCATTCTGCTTTCTGTCTCTGTGAATTTGTCTACTCCAGCTGCCTCATATAAGTGGAATCATACAGTATTTTTTTGTGATAGGCTTACTTCACTTAGCATACTGCCCTCAAGGTTCATCCATGTTGTATCATGTGTTAGAATTATCTTCCTTTTTAAGGCTGAATAGTGGTCCATTGTGTATGTATGCCACCTTTGCCTATCCATTCATTGGTTGATGGACACTTGTGTCACTTCCATGTTTTCGTGATTGTGAATTATACTCATATGAACACAGGTGTTTGAGTCTCTGCTTTCAGTTCTTTGGTATATATACAGAAGTAGAATTGCTGGATATGGTCATTCTATTTGTACTGTTTTGAGTAACTTCCTGTATTAGTCTGTTTTGCATTGCTATAAAGAAACACATTTTATTTGGCTTGTGGTTCTGCGGGCAGTACAGGCATGGCACCGACATCTGCTTGGCTTCTGCTGTAGCCTCAGGAAGCTTATAGTCGTGGCAGAAGGCAAAGAGGGACGGCAAGAGAGGAAGCAAGAGAGAGAGCGAGGAGGTCTCAGACTCTCTTTAATAATCAGATCTCCTGATAACTCATTTCCATGGGGAGGGCACCATTCATGAGGGATCCGCTCCCATGACCCAAACAGCTCCCACCGGGCCCCACTGTCAACACTGAGGATCACATTTCAACATGAAATGTGGAGGGGACAGACATCCAAACTATATCACCTCCATACTGTTTTCCACAGCATTCCCACCAACAGTGCACAGGGGTTTCAGTGTCTCCACATCCTCATCACACTTGTTATCTTCTGTTTTTGTTTGTTTGTTTGTTTGTTTTTTATAGTAGCCATTCTCATGAGTGTGAGGTATTAACAGTGTCTTTTGAAGATCAGAAATTTCTAATTTGATGAAGTCCAGTTTATCATTTTTTTTCTTTTCTGGATCATACTTATGGTGTCATACCTGAGAAATCTTTGTGAACCCAAGGTTACAAAGATTTTCTCCTGTGTTTTCTCTAGAAGCTTTTTTGAGGGAGGAAAGGGAGGTTTCTATTTTGGATTAGCTTTTGGATAAAGTAAAAGGCATGGATTAAAGTTTATTTGCATACGTGGATGTCCAGTTGTTTCTGCATCATTTATTGAAAAGACCATCCTTTCTTCATTGTTTTGCCTTTGAACCTTTATTAAAAATCAATGACTATATATATGTGTGGGCCTATTTCTGGATTCTAATCTCTCCTTAAATTTTGATCGCTTTCCTTACTGTGAAGCAGTGTTAAACTTAGGATAGTACCAGCTTTCCCTCAGAAGTAAATTTTTGGTCATGATTTAAACAGAAGAGAAGATGAAAGCGTTGGACAATCTGTCAGAGCAGATTTATTCTACATTTTGCAATTAGGGGGACTCTGAAAGGCAAGATGTAGGACTTTCTTCACTCTTTATTTTAGTCACTTACCCAAACAGATTTTGTATCGTGTATCTTTTTTTCAGGTTTAAAATTGGGGCTGAGAATTTCTTCTAATACTGAGTATACTTATACAGAAAGTTAATACAAAAGCATAAGATAAGATAAATAAGCATTTGAGTTTAAACTGTAATTATGCAATAGTATAAAAATGATGACTGTCTTAATAGGGTGTCTAAGAGAATAAGGGAGTTGCATGTCACTAAAACAAAAATAAATGTACTGAAGCCCCAGCTCTGCAGAGAGGGCCTAGGGTCTTGAGGGTGTGTGGGACACCTTTCTGGCCATCCAGAAAAAATCTACAGAAAACAAAGAAGTGGTTACACTACCCAAAACAAAAGGGAAGAGCCAAGCTTTTTCTCTAAGTGGCTTGAGTTCTATCACCACCAGGTAAATAAATCAGGTGAAACTTTCCTAAGAGTGAAGTCTTCATTCAGGAAGTATAACCCAGTTCATATAGAGATCACAATTCTGATGGCCAACAATTTCAAGACATCACTTAGAAAATAATGTAGAGATGGCCAGAGTCCCAGAGTTGGCCAAAGACTGGACAAGTGGCTAACATCCTTTTCTACCTATCTGCCTGTCTCATCAGGGCTCTCATTCCAGACAACCTCCAAGGGGCTGCTGAATGTAAATTTCTAAAGCACAGCTCTGAAATGTTGGATTAAAGATGTTTCTCAGTGACCCCCAAAACATGAGTTTCACAGCATGTAACCCTTCATAGTCTGGCCAAAGGCCACCTTTTGAGCCTCCTATGCGGGATTCTCCTTCTGTGCCACTTGTTGAGCCTAAACACCATTTTTTCACTTCACTGTACACTGTACATATACTGGTTCCTCTTACTGAGATGGCTTTTCCCTCATGTACCTGATAGGTGCTTAGTTTTCCTCTGAGATCCCCTCAAGTGTCACCTTCTCTTGACACCTTCCTGCAGTGCTTGTGCAGGATGCAGCAAATAGAGTATAAGGATGTGGGCTTGGATTTGAATCCCAGCTATATCACTTAAGAGTTATGTGAACTCTGACAAGTTATTTAATCTCTCTGAGCCTTGATTTCATGGTAGTGAATACCTTATAGGGTTAATATGAATATTAAATATTATTTTATGTATACATATATAGTACAAAGTATATGAGCGTTTAATAAACATTAATTATTATTAATACTATCTCTTATTTATTCAGTAAGCATTTCTTGAGCACCACCGTGCTATTCAGTCATTCCAAGTGCTTGGGATGCATGTGTGAATAAGACCTTGCCGTTGTATTTGAGGTATTTAAGCACAGTGCTTTAAGAAAAGGATATATGCAAAGTGCCATGGAAGCTATCATGTTTTTATGACTACAGTGTACCAAGTAATATTATATATATATAAAAATAAGATATATATATATATATCTTATTTCATCTTCCAAAAGCCTTAAGATATAGGTATTATTTTCTCCCTTTTACAGCTGAGGAAACAGTCTCAAAGAGGTTAAGTAACTTGCTTGTGATGTAGTTATGCACCTAACAAATAGTAGCGCCAGGAGGCAAACCTAGTCTGTCTGACTACAATGTAAAAATGAAGCTTAGATAGTATTTGGAGACTATTACAAGCCCTTTCATAGTATTTGGAGACTATTACAAGCCCTTTCAGATTTACATCTTGAAAGATGTATTTTTCCAAAAGATGCCACTTTTGCCTCTGTCATGGGCAGCATATTTAACAGAATAAATTCTAAGCTCACCCAAGATGACAGTCCACATTTCCTTATAATGCACGTTATTTTGTTGTTTATAGAACAAATTCTGTTTCCTTGAATCTTTTTGTTAACCCTTGACTGTCTTCATAATCACTTGTGTACTACGAATCGTAGAAGTGAGAGAAAGAATTTGTAGTAAAGGTCAAGAATCCAATAGCATTTATCTCTGAAATTCTGGGAGAAATGATAGGCCTCACTCTTACCACTTACACACTATATCTAGGTGTATAACTAAATACAAATGGAGTTTTGAGATGTTTTTAGAAGGAAACTGTGCTAAGGAGGCTCTTAAAGATGCTTGAATCTCATTGTATTGGTCAGAGTTCTTAGTTGCAAACCAGAGAATCCACTTAAACTACTTTAGATAGAAAGGAGTTTGTCAAAAGACGTTAGTGGCTTATGGACCCTCTGGTGTAGCCTAAGAGTCAGATTTGGCCATTTCACAGCAGGAAAAATGCTCAGCTACACCATGGAACTATTCTAGTGAAATATACTGCAGCTTACTTGCTCTTGAGGGGGACCAAAAAAAAAAAAAAAAGAAAGAAAGAAATGTACTGTGGCTCCTACCTGCTCATGTTTCAGCTTGGAAGAAGCTTCATAAGATGCTTGCTTTAATTAAACCTGGTGCTCATTTTCTAGGAACTATTAGAAATAAAAAGAGGCTAGTTCTTATAGGCCCCTTGATTCTCTTTAGGTATATACTCTTTTGAGACCTGTTTAGAAGAGATCATATAAATACAAAATCCTGGCCAGGTGCAGTGGCTCACACCTGTAATCCCAGCACTTTAGGAGGCTGAGGCAGGCAGATCGCTTGAGGTTAGGAGCTCAAGACCAGCCTGGCCAACATGGTGAAATCCTGTCTCTACTAAAAATACAAAAATTAGCTGGGCCTGGTGGTGGCTGCCTGTAATCCCAGCTACTCGGGAGGCTGAGGCAGGAGAATCGCTTAAATGCAGCAGGTGGAAGTTGCAGTGAGCCAAGATCGCGCCACTGCACTCCAGCCTGGATGACAGTGCGAGACTCCGTCTCAAAAAAATAAAAATAAAAATCCTAGATAAATAAATTGATACATGTTCAAATAATGAAATTAAAAGGAAAACACTAACATAACATCTACTAACATGGCTAAAACTAAAAAATGTAATGTTGAACAACAACAAAAAACACCAAGTTCCATAATACATACAGCATGGTACCATACATATAAAGTGTGAAAACGTGCAAAAAATAGTTTCTATATAGTGTATGGATATATATGTGTGTTGAAAAACTGAAAAAAAAAATGTTTACGCATGGTGAATAACAAATTTATAATAGTTATTTTTGGAGAGAGAGGAAAGGAGGGATAGGGATCAGGAAGGGGTACACAGGGAGTTTCTGTTGTATCTCTAATGTTTTGCTTTTTATGAACTGTTTTCTTGAAATAAATATACCAAAATGTTAAGATTTGCTAGAGCTGGGTAGTTCAATATATAATTGTGATATTTATTCTCTGTATGTTTAATATTTCATAATGAAAAATATTAGGCCGGGCGTGGTGGCTCACGCCTGTAGTCCCAACACTTTGGGAGGCAAAGGCAGGTGGATCACCTGAGGTCAGGAGTTTGAGACCAGCCTGGCCAACATGGTGAAACCCCTTCTCTAGTAAAAATACAAATATTGGCTGGGCACGGTGGCTCACGCCTGTAATCCTAGCACTTTGGGAGGCCGAGGCGGGCGGATCACGAGGTTAGGAGATCGAGACCATCCTGGCTAACATGGTAAAACCCCGTCTCTACTAAAAATACAAAAAATTAGCCAGGTGTGGTGGCTGGTGCCTATAGTCCCAGCTACTCGGGAGGCTGAGGCAGGAGAATGGCATGAACCCAGGAGACAGAGCTTGCAGTGAGCTGAGATCGCACCACTGCACTCCAGCCTGGGTGACAGAGCAAGACTCTAACTCAAAAAAAAAAAAAAAAAATTCAAAAATTAGCAGGATGCAGTGGTGCACACCTGTAAACCCAGCTACTTAGGAGGCTGAGGCAGGAGAATCGCTTGAACCCAGGAGGCAGAGGTTGCAATGAGCCGAGATTGAGCCACTGCACTCTAGCCTGAGTGACAGAGGAAGACTCCGTCTCAAAAAATAATAATAATAATAATCCTGGACTCTAGCTGAGTATTAGGATAAAATTTTAAAAATATTACTGCCTTCACATACAGATGAACTCAAAAGAAGAGGTTAAAATGCAGTTATTACATTTAGTTGGTTCTTTCCTCCAATAGGAGAGTATTCAGGAAGATTGCCAAAAAACTTGGTAATTGAGCTTTCCAAAGGGGGTTCAGGTGATCCTCAGTGACAGTTCAGGCTGTGCCAGGTATGCACACTGGAGCCACGTCAGACCCCAGTCTTAATATGTTTCTCTAAGGTGACCTTCCAAACAGTGTTCTACGTGCTTGGTTTGGAGCCAAGTTGGTTTTGTGTAGTGCTCTAGCCACAAATGGTTTAACATGTTCTATTTACAAACGTGTAGCCAGATAGTATGGGTGTCATCAAAAGAATGATTTGCCAGTTCTACCTTGTTATCATGGGAATTTATTTTGGGAATAAAGAAACTGAATGTTTAGTCAGGGCCTTTATACAAAGCAAAGTGAAATCATATTGGAAAGAGAACAAAGACATATGTGAAATGGAATATTAAGAAGAGTCATCTTAAAAGAAATCCAGTTGGACCAAGTGTTTGAAGACCTGTGGCATCCCCAGCACAGAAGCTCCACTAAGGCTTTAAATTGTTGGGATTTCCACTCGGGCTGGAGCACTGGCTCCCCCGTGGTCTAAGCTGCCACTATCACTGTGTCTTTAGTGTAGGAATTTTTAACCTGGAGTCCACAGGTTCCCAAGTGGTCCACGAATAGAATTCAGGGAGTCCATGAACTTAGACAAATATTACATCTTAATTTTCATTGACCTCTAACTAAAACATGGCATTTTTCTCAGTTATGAAGGTAGGCAACAAACCACTGTAGTACTTAACAGTGCTGGTGACTTTATCATCATGTTCAAAAGAGGTTGGCCTGTGATTTTCCTCTCTTTAAACGTCCTTGTGAGGTCTTGGTATCAAGGTTATGCTGGCCTCAAACAGGTTGAGGAATTTTATTCTCTGGCAGAATTTGTGAACAGGTGGTGTTACTTCTTCTTTAAATACTTAGTAGAATACTTTAGTGAAGCCCTTTGGGGCCTGGAATTTCTTTATGGGAGAGTTTTCAAATGTAGATTTAATTTACTTAATAGATACATGATTGTTCAGATCTTCTCTTTCTTCTTGTATTTGTTTTGACAAGTTTCTTCTTCCTAGATATTTGCCCGTTTCATCTCTTTTCAAAATAATGAGTGAAAGTTGCTCAAAATATCCTCTTGTCTTTATAATGTCTGTAGAATCTATAACAGTGTCTTCTTTTTCATTCTTGATATTAGTTAGGTAAAAATTGTAAACATTAACAAAACTCAGGGTCCTTAAGGGTTTAGGGAAATGGTCACTATTGATAGGAGTCCAAGTTATACAACTTTTCTAGAAAACAGTGTATATCAAACATAAAATGTTAGTATATTTCATCCAACAACCCCTTTTAAGGAATTTGCCATAAGTAAATAATCTCACAGAAATATTCAACACAGGATTACCTATAATAGCAAAAAATATTGAAAAAAATCAATAGGGGACAAGGAAGTAATTAAATTCACTAGAATGCCCTCATGTTATAAAACATAGCATATTGACATGGAAAAGTGCAAGGGACATATCGTTAGTTACAAAAAGCAGGTTGCAGAAGAGCATATACAGTGTAGGCTCTTCTGTGTTGAAACATATACATCAATATAAATGAATATGTACATAGAGAATGGTTTGGAACCATGGTTATCAAAATTCTAACAGCAGTTATCTATGAGTGGTAGGATGTTGGGTAGTAGTTATTTTCTTTTTGCTCTTCTGTATTGTTTAAGATGTTTGCATGAGCATGCATCATTCCTACAAAAATAGCAAAACTTTCTAAAGATCTTAGCAGTTTGCAAGATGAGAGGGTGGTAGGGGAGGAGAGTGTCAAAGCATTTTTGTTGCCTCCTGAGGAACAGTCAGGGAAGGAGAGTTTGGAGCTGTAAGAAAGAAGGGGTAATCGGCTGAGTAAAGCCCTTAGAAAGATAGGAGGGCCTGTACTCAGACACAGAAGTTACCCTTAAAGGGACAGGACAATATTTCTTTCCAGAAAGGAGGAAAAGATGATTGAAGATATGGAGAAGTTCAGAGCTGGAGAGAAGGGAAAATTAGAGTGTTCATAAGCCACGGCTTCTAATTTCTTGGTGAAATCAGAGGTAAGACCATTTGCCAGGAGGTGGGGGTGGGAATCAGAGTAGAACAGGGGTCTTGAGGAAAGTGATAAGAGTCTCCAATAGAACTGACAGCAGGAAAGGGATTTGATGGGGTGTGGGCAGCTGAGTTGATCAGAGGCCTTACTGGAACTATAAGCCCGCATTTTTAGGGAGCCCAACAGAGCATGATTGGTATGGAGTTAGAGGGTGGCCCAGCAGGCTTCACAGAGCTTCAGAGGATGAGAGAATTCAGGATACTGATAAGGGCAATTTAAATGATTGGCTTTAGAATCCAAATCCTTGGGAGAAGAGTGAATTAGAGATAGTGCCAAGGACTGGATAATTAATTAATTAGTTGGAATATGGGTATCCAAGAGGCCAAAGGATAGGAGTTTATGGCCAAAGTGGGGTTTCAGAGTTTGACATTTTATAGGAATTCTGGGCAACCTGGAGTTTAATAGGTAGCCATGGAAGTAAAGGAACGATCATAGAATGTGGGTAGGTCAGAGGGTTGTGTTGCTGGAAGTTTCAGTGTTCTTCCTCATGGATGAGAGCATTTCCCAGGGAGGTGACAGGAATTCTTTTGGAGAAGAAGATTTTGAGGCAGGTAGAGATTGTCTTCAAGGATGGAAAGAAAGTTGACTCCTCAGGGAAGGCTTGATGAAGAGACCTAGTAGTGTCGTGGTGTGAGCTACTGTGGGGTAGCAGGAAGTTTGCTGACCCTCTCTCCCAAGGCTGGGAACCTGGACCCTGGCAGAAGTCTCTCTTCGAGGCTGAAGAGCAAAACCAGGTTTGCAGTACCAGAGACTGGCAGGAAAAATGATCTGGAAACGAAGAAGAATGCTCTGCAGAAGCTTCTTAGCAAAGGGACAAGGGGTCTGGGGTACAGGTGAGCAGGAAAAAAGATGTGAGAAAGTAGGTTCTGAAGAGAGACAGACTAGTGCTAGGAAGGGCTGATCTGCAAAGGGGTGGAGATTTATATGCAGGTTTTCCAAAGGAAATGCCAAATGGTATATTTCTTTTAATCACAAAGTAGTGTCTGCTTACTACAGAGAGAACTGAAACTACAGCCAAGCAAACAGCAAAAACAAGTAAACAAAAGAAGCGTAAGAACTACCCACAATCTCAGGGTCCTGGAGCTTTTCCAGTTGACATGTTCCTCCCCTCCATTTCCCACTGCCACAGCTTCAGGTCAAGGCCACAAAGGCCACATTGCTTTTAGAATGAGCTTGTGCTCTGGTTCCCAAGTGTCTCTAACTGAGCCCCCAGGGCTGCCTGAACCCCACCCTTCACGTCCTACTTGGGCTGCCAAAGTCATCTTCCCAAAACATGACTTTTCCTCAGTCACTTTTCTTATTAGATTTTATCATATTCCACATCCCTTCCCTGGCCCTCAAGGGTGCCTGTAACCTAGAACCATCTTACCTTTCCACCCTTGTTTCCAAACCTTCCGCTTTACTTAGACATGCCTTCCCATTTCCCTCCCGACCCACTTCCCTCACAGCCTCACATCTGGGTCTCTGTCCCCTCACTAGGATGTCTGCCCTATCACAATGACCAGTCCCATCCAGATTATGCCAGTTGTCGAGGTCCCATACCCTACTTTAGCCCATAGTGATTTTTGCCCTTCCAGTTACTCATCTGATCACCCCTTTTAGGATTTACATTAGTTCTGTTCCAGTAAAGGCTTAGGTAGGAAGCACAGGATGTAGAGCTGAGTTGAACCTATTCCCCTGATCTTACTAATGAGGTGCCTGATATTCAGAGAGACCAAGGGACATCCCCAAAGTCAACCAGCAATCCATTAGAGCTGAGCCTAGTACCTTGATTCTCAGACATGAATGCTACTTGTTGAATTGAAAATTGCATTCATAATACATCTCTTCATAGATTCCTGGCCAGGAAGCCCCAGAGACCAAAACAGTGGTTATCAATATTTAGAATATATCAGATTTACCTGGGGAGCTTTATCAAAATCCACACTCCTAAGCCCAATAGGGGGAAACTCTGATGTGGTAGGTTTAGGGTAAGACCTGAGTATTTCCAAGAAAACCTCCCTGGATGATCCTGACACAGGGAGCTTTCAGATCATCCTTTGAGAAAATCTGCTTTAGAGCTCATTCTTTGGTTCGGCTTTCTCTTTTGAGCTCACTGATATCATCCCTGTGGACACTGAAGCTTTTCTGAAGCTTTCTCATCTCAGGAATTGGTTTGGGTTACTCTACAATCAGATTTCCATCCAGGATGTCACGGCAGTGGCTCAGTACTGCAGCCTGTGTACCTTCTCAGCCAAACTGGCCTGGGCCCAAGCTTGGGCCAGGTTATTTTTCAAAGTACTCTTGGGCATACTGTGACACAATATTGAGCATAGTAGAATTCTTGTGGGAAACGCTCCGTTTGTCAAGGTGTTTGTGAGCACCTTCTGAAGTGTGGATGCCTAGCCTCTGTGGCCTGCCAACTGTCTGCACCACAGGTTAACCAAACCCAAACTGTCTGCACCCAAGTAAACCCAATCCAAACATGAGCCTTGAGCTTGCCAAACCCCAGCACATGGAGACCTGGGCCAGGATTAGGAGGTAGAGAGGCAGTTTGTATAGTGATGAGGGCAAGGCTCTGGGGCACACTGCCTGGGTTTGTATCCCAGTTCCACGGTTTCTAGCTGTGTGACCTTTAACATGTTTCCTCATCTATAAAACAAGAACTCAAACTATAAAAATAATTATATTCTACAAAATAAAAATAATTCCTAGCTCCCAGGATGGTTATAAGGATAACAAATCTATGCATGTGAAGCGCTTAAAACAGTGTTTGGCGCATAGTAAGTGTTCAATAAGGGCTTGCTATTGTTAAAATTATTTCTTGAAAACTGGGGTGAAATACTTAGACTGCAAAGAGATAACTCAGTATGCGTCTGTGCAGTTATCAGTCTAAAAGTTATCAATTATCTCCTGGTTGCATGCATGAGCATAGATCCGAAGAATGACAAGCGATATAGTAATAGCTCCTCCAAATGCTGCCTGGACCTCTGAAGACAATTTAAAAATGCTAGGTATTTCCCAGCAATAAGGTCAAGCCTTGCATAATTTAAGAAATATACAGCAATTCCACATTTTGGTGCTTTGATAAGGTGGCAGTTACATAACAGGCTGCAACCACGCAGATGAGCAGAGCCAAAGGTGGGGGAGAGGGTGTTCTGAAAAGATGTGTGAGTGTTGGAGTGAAGGCTGTGCGAGATGAAAGACATGGCAGCAGTTACAGTCTTCATAAAGTTTGGGTCTGAAGGATCCACGCATGCCCTGTGACATTATAAATGGCCTGACAGCAGGAAAAACATCTCCTGACATTTACTGTCAGGCTAACACCAATGGGAGGAATGAAAGTTTGCCTTATATTTGTCATATTACCAATGTTTTCTTATTCCTTGATAATGTTTTTAAGCTAAAAGTAAGATTGCATCAGTCTCTAAGGTGACACAAAGCTGAATTTGTCTCTAGAATTTATATGTTTTATCAAACTTTTGCAAAAGACTCAACTTAGAGTGTTGCCAAAGCATCACCTTCCTGTATCACGTTGCCAAGTTAACTTTTCTTGATGCTCCGACTTAGTGGTGCCATTCTCCAAATTCCAAGTACAGGAGAGCCCTAGAAGGGTGTCAGAAAGCAGGTTGCAGTAGCTTACTTCTGTTTTTGGGTAGGAGATGCTGGTCCGTGAGCACTCAGCAAGTGATCCTGTGTGCTAACCACTAAAATACTTAGACCACCCTGTTTGAGTTGTATGATATCTCTTTAAAAGGGAACTGACTGGTTTACATAGATTGCGTAGTATTTATCATAACATAATGCTCAGACTTTTAGAGACCAGAAAGCCAGTTTGTTTGGGGGACCATCTTTAGGCCTAGCATCATCCTCATCTCCTAGAAGTGGCCAGAATAGCTTGGTTGTTGCCCAACCTTTTTGGATATGATGCTGTAGCTGGGGGCCTTTAGATCCAGGGGTAAGGAGAGTGCTAAAGGGCACTGCCACCAGCCAGGGCAGGCTGAAAGCTTTGGCTCTGCCTCAGCACTTGTTAGCCTACCATTTTCCTTAGCAAGAAGCTGCTGTGGAATGAGTTCCTGGGAGTGGATGAGGCCCAGGTAAGCCTTGTTGGATTGAAATGTATAATCTTACCTCTGGGTCTTTTAAAATAAATCAAATTTTAATATTTACAAATGATAACAGAATTTGGAATGAAGATTTTCTTTTTATTGCTGCCTGTCCAAGCACCATGGGAGATCAGAATGTTAGCTTGATGGCTGAGTAGCAGGCAGTAAGCAGGGAGGCCTTAGCTAGCTGTAACTTTTATTTATTCATGTACTCCCTCCTCAATACAGGACGTGGACCACACTGTGCCGTAGAGGGAGGACGTTGACATAACACGATCTGACCTCAAGCCCTTATATATAAGGCATTAATTTGGATATCAAACTGTTTGAAATTTTTTGTAATAAAGTTTTTTAAAACTTAGCACATTTGAGGATAAGAAGGAGATCTTGGAAAATAAAAATATCACTAACTAAACAATTATAAAATGTAATAGAAGGGCTAGAAAATGAAATCGGCGGTTTCCAAAAGGTAGAATGAAAAGATGAAGAGACAGAAAATAGGGGAGAAACAACAAATAAAACTTTAAATGGCACATCCAGGAGGTTCAATATCTGGCTAATAGGAGTTCCAGGAGAACACAGAAAAGAGAGAAAAGGAAATTATCAAAGAAATAATGTGAGAGAATTTTCAGAACTGAAGGTCAAGACACTCTATTTTGAAAGATGTTTTCAATCTAGAGGCCAATACAATGAATGGAAAAAATTAGCCACACCTAGGCACATTATAATCGACATCCCAAATGCCAGAAATAATCATAAAAGCTTTTGGAGGGGGAAAACTTGTCCCAAACAAACTGATGAAAATCTGAATGCTATCAGGTTTTTAAACATCAATACTGAAAGCTAGAAGACAGAATAAAGTCAGTAAAATTTGGAGGGTAAGTTATTTTCCGTTTAGAATTTTATATACAGTTGAACTTTCAATCAAGTGTAAAGACAGAACAAAGACATTTAAAAATCTGCAAGGACTGAAAATTTTGCTTCCTGCGGATTTTTTTCTAGGAAACAACCAGAATAAGTACTTCATCAAAATGAGGAAATAAATAAAAAACAGAGAAACAGAACCCAGGAGCCAGAAAACCAACACAGGAAAACAGCCATGAGAAGCCCAGTGGTGTAGGCCCAGCTACTTGGGAATTCCCAAATGATCTGATATAACCGACCATTTGGAAAATCACACATGTGCGGATGCATGCACACTCAACGTATGCGCGCACACCCACACAGAGTTAAGGCAGGATATTTGGAAAAATTTGAATATAGATGCATAGAATATTAAGCAAATGAAATAAAGAGGGAATGTTAACTGTAAGGGAGTTGTACAAGGGAAAATAAAACAAAACTTAGCTTTTTAATGAACAGTTCTTACAATATGTAAGGGAAGGGAAAATGTGGTGGTGCAAAAGAGCTAAAATGTAAACAGTTAAACAGGAAATTAATAGTTGAAGGATAAAATAGAGAAATCAAGAAATGACAATATTAGTATATTTGGTTAAAAAAAGCTAAAAGCTTTGAAAGTGTTTGCCTCAAAGTAGTGGGTTTTAAAATTTTTTTTCAGCAATTTGATTTAAACCATGTGATTTTGTTTGTTTTGATAAAAAAGTAAAAGTTAAAAGTTTGACTGTGAATAGAAAACTCAAACCAGTATCATCCAAGAAGCTTTTGCCACCACAGGCGTCGCCAGCATGGTGGGTAGAGCACAGAGTCTCCATCAGATCCAGGCTCCGTGCTCTGAGGCTCCTCCTCACAGGATGTCCTCCCTGTCTGTTGGCAGGTAACTGGGCTATCTCCTGCCAGAGCCATACCAAGTTTCAGATGAGGTTATAAGGCTGAGCGGGAGTGTATACCTAATAACAGGAAGGGAGGAAAGAGGAAGGAAGGAGAAAATTTCCTTCATAGATGGATTTAGAAAACGGTTTTGCCACCTTGTTATTGAGACAACTCCAAGGAAATTCTATCTGAAATCCACTCACCAGCGGAATATGGCATCAAATGACAATTCTACTTCACTGTCTGAAGCTTGCCTAGTATGACACAAGAGTATATCTCTAGGCCAGCCCCAGGGGTAGAGTTAACCAGTGGGCACACTAGGCTCTCCCATGCCTACCCTGTTCCATGCTGGGGTTAGGATATGGTTCTAGGCTGACTTGATCCAGTAATCAGTCTAGAGAACAGAGAATGAACCAGATTTCCTTCCATCCCTACCCGTTACCCAGGGAGTGACCTTTCCATACATCACCACCGCTGACCTACAGTACCTTATATATCTGGGATCTACCCCAAACCAGATTAATCCATGTCTGGGCTCACTGTGTGTCTGGTTATAATTGGACCACCCAGACCACAGTGATATTCAAGCAGCCATTCACTTCTCTGTACCCTACTTCTGTTGACCAGCACTGGCTGAAAGCAGTGGTTGTGAAGGAAAGGGCCCTTCTACTCCTACGCACAGGTGTGCAGGGCACCAGGCCAGCTGCAAGCGAGGACACAGCTGTTTGTGGAGACTGTGTGCATTAAAACCCAGACTGTCCTCTTTTACTGCAGGCTTAGAGTGCCGTTTTATAGTGGAAACTGTTGTACTGAATTCCTAGTAGGGAAGGACCCATTTGCACTTAAAATTAGTTTTCATTTAACCTGTTAATGGAAGCATTTTTTAAAAAGAATATCTTTCATTTTTCAGATAGTGAGTCACTTTCTTAAAATGTGTTTGTTTGTTTATTATAGAAGCAGTACATGCTTGTAACAGGTTGAAACAATAAAAAATTTTTAAAAAAGGATTGCCATCCCTCACCCTAATTCTATCCATAGAGAATAAGGATGATGTACTGGTCCATAGAGAATAAGGATGGTGTACGTGTATATCTGTCTGTACAGCTTTGTACAACATATATATGTGTGTGTACATACATGTACATACATGTACACACATATATATGTGCTTATGTACTTTACAACAGCTATAACAATACATATATAATCATTTAATAAAAATGAGATCAATACAACTTTTGTTTCTGTTGACATACATTGTAAACATCTTTTAATATCAGAACCTACAGATCGGCCACATTTTCAGGAATATTCTTTATATGGATGCACCTTAATTCATCTATGCATCTCCCTACTGATGAACACTTAGGTTCCCCAGACTTTTGATAATTAGTATCAGTGCTGCATTAACACCTTTAACTCTGAAGTCAGACAGAGTTAGTTCAGGTTCTAGATACTCAATTACTTACTTTAGCAAGTTATTTAAACTCTCTGTGCCTCAATTTCCTGATTTGTTAAATGGGAATAAAATTGTTCTCACAGTGTTCCTATTAAAAAAGGCTAAATGAAGGAATACATATAAAGGCACCTAACATTATAATAATGATAGCTAACATTTATTGACTACTTACTATCAGCCAGGTACTGTGTGTAAACAAATACCAACTGTTTTATGCTTTAGTCTTATAACATATTTTTTTAATACCTGTAAAGGCATCATCACCATTAAAATGGCATTAGCTATTTCTATGCATTTACTCCTCCAATAAATTTTAAAATCAACTTTCCACCTACCTCTCATCAATATGACAAGTTTTTTTTTTTAATCCAGTTGGAATTCTAAAGGGTATCTCCACTTCTGAAGGTTGCCAGAGTAGAAAGACCCTTAAGCTTGAGTCAGAGAGAACTGAGTGTTCTTATGGTGTCCCTCCAAAGCCACGTGACCATAAGCAGTTCATTTAAACTCTCTGAGCAATTGCACTTTCCCTACCTGTAAATGGGAGGGTCAATCCTTACAGAAGTGGGGGGGATAGTATAAGAAAGCTGGAACGATGTCTGACAATAAATACTTAATAAGTGTGCTTGCTTCTGAGGCAAGTGTTTTTAATTTATCTTCTGGTCCTTTGTCTTCAGCACCATTTTCAGTGGCAGCTCTAAGGTGATCTTTAGGGAAAAGAGTTTGAGAGTGAGAGCAGCGGTGAACATGCAGGATGAAGTTTAAGGCCCCCACTTCCTCTGCAAGGCAAGCTGAACATTTACAACCAGTGAAGATTAGCCAAGAGGGAGGAAAGGGAATTGGGACAAACATAGACTGTTCCATTGTGCAGGCATGTGCCACCAACCGTGGAGTGGACTTCCTGCTGCAGGACACAGCTGACCTTTGGAGAGTCACTGTCTGAGTGAGGCTGCCCTTTAGCAGGACAGAACACAGCTGTTGTTTGGATGTCAGAGGCTAGTTAATAACTGTGTTTGGCAATCAGCTTGGGATGTTAACAGCTTCTAGGTTTAAGGAAGGCCAGAAGAATAGTATGAAGGAAATCTTTGTGTTACCAACAGGTTCTTTGGTAATCTTTCTTTGAACAAAAATTAACACTTCACAGCAGCTTTAAAAAGTATTAAGAGAACTCATAAAAGTCAGAGCAGATGTGCTGGAGATCACACTTCCAGAGCTCTCTGGGGAACTATTTCTGGACTAACAAGTCCAACAAATGTGTTAATTCAGGTTGAGATTTCTAATGCAAATATTGACTCAATCTCAACCTTTGCAGTTAATTCTCCAACTCGAATGTGTCCTTTCAGGATACCTTGCCTGTTTTCTTTCTTTATGCCTAATCATTTGCCTACCCTTCATTTTGAAGGTGGTTAGCAGGTGGTTGTTTAGTGGTCAGTTCTACATTCTTTCTCTAGGTCTCGATAATGTTTAGAGGAATAAGTATAAATATTCCTTGATTTTCTTAGTGGTATAATTGCGGAAAAGGAGGAAGAAGAGATAGCCAGGGCGGTATAGACCAGTATAAATGATTCTCAGTCTTAGAGCAGATTACAGAAAAGTAACTTCTTGCACACTATTCAGTATTAAAGAAAAAATGGGTGACAGATTGTTTTGTTGATTTTTCCCCCCAGCCCACATGATATTTTTAATTACTCTTAATTTTTAAATGTGTTTTGAAGTTTGTATGAATTGGTATGCAAACTGCTACGTGGCTAACCATTAGTATAAAATAAAAAGTTTTGACTAAAAGATAATGTAAAGGTAATGTAAACTTAATGTAAAGTTCACCTTCATACTTGAAGGATATTTTCACTGGATATAGAATTCTGGGATGAAGTTCTG
Source organism: Homo sapiens (assembly GCF_000001405.40). NCBI lineage: Eukaryota > Metazoa > Chordata > Mammalia > Primates > Hominidae > Homo > Homo sapiens. The sequence continues at coordinate 466,744 of NW_025791771.1, forward strand.
TTTTGTTTTAAGAGAAAAGATCTCACGGTGTCACCCAGGCTGGAGTATATAGTAGCACAATCGTAGCTCACTGCAGCCTTGAACTCCTGGGCTCAAGTGATTCACCTGCCTCAGCCTCTCGAGTAGCTCGGACTACAGGCACACACCACCTTATCCAGCTAACTTTAAAAAAAGTTATTTTTTTTTTTTGTAGAGACGAGAGTCTCGCTAGAGTCTCGCTATATTGCCCAGGCCGATCTCAAACTCTTAGCCTCAAGCAATTCTCCCACCTCCGCCTCCCAAAGCACTGGGATTACAGGCGTGAACCACCAGGCCCAGCCAAGTTTTTTTTTCCAAATGCTGTTATAACGATCTCCTGGCATCCTTGGTTTCTGATTCAAAGTGAGTGGTCACTGGAATTATTGTTACTTTTATGTAATGTATAATTTTCCTTTGGCTACTTTCAAGATTTTCTACTCTTTATCTTTGGCTTTCTTTATGTTTATCTTGCTTAGACTTTATTGAACTTCTTAAATCTGTAAATTTAAAGACTTTGCAGCCATTAAAAAAATATGTTTTTTCTGTCCCATTCTCTCTCTCTTTGCCTTCTGGGACTATGGTTAAACCTATGGTAGACCTTTCAATGTTGTCCTACAGGTCTGAGGCTCTGTTCATTTATTTTCAATCTTTTTTCCTTTCTGTTCTTCAGATTGGATAATTTCTATGAATCTATCTTCAAGTTCACTGACCTTTTCTGTTATCACTATTCTGTTAAGCTCATCCAGTGATTTTTAAAATTTTTCACATATTATATTTTAAATTCTAGAACTTTCAGTTGGTTCTCTCTTATACTTTCTCTGCCAAGGTTTCCTATATATTTCATATATTGCTTTATGCCATTGAGCACAATTATAATAGCTATTTTAAAAAATCTTATCTGCTAATTGCACCGTCTAGGTTATCTTGGATTCTCTATTGACTGTCTTTTTTCTTGAGGATGGGTTGCATTTTCCTATTTATTTGTATGTTAAATAATTTTGGATTGTATTTTGGACATTGTGCATATTACATTGTGGAGACTCTGGATTCTATTATATTCCTCTGTACAGGTTTTCCGGGAAGTGAGGGGTCGTTGTTTATTATTGTTTCTTTTGTTTTTTGCCATTGCCAACATTCAGCTTGGTTGAGCTAAAACCACAAACTCTGTCTCTGAATCGAGGCACTACCTCAATTCTCGGCTTAGTTATTTTATCCTTAGCTAGGTTGCTTAGCGTCTGCCCCATGCATGCATAGTTCAGTGGTCAGCCAAAGATTTGGGCAGTTTTTACATAGAATTTGGGGCTCTCCCTTTCTGGCTCTGTACTTTCTGGATTCTCCCCTTTCACTTTGTAGTGGCTGTGATTGTCCCAAAGTCTGTCACCCAAGCACTACATGCTGTCTATTGGAGTTTTAGCCATGCAGCATGGCACTGGTGGCAGCCTGACACCAGGCTGAAAGCCATAAAACTGAAAAACATATCTAGATCTTTTTCCATTTTCCAAGTGTCATTCTCCCCGCTCTGAAATCTGCTTACTGTCTATCTTTTTACAGTGCTTCCAGGTAGTTATTTTTTATATTTTGTTAATAGTTTATAGTTTTCTCCAGGAGAATCAGTCTAGGATGGAAAACCTAGTCTATGGTAGAGGAAAAATAATCAAAACAGTAGTTTCCTATAGAGAAGTAAGAGTTTTTACCCAGGTATATATATTTGTCAAGACTCAGTGAATGTACACTTAAGATTTGGGCACTTCACTGAATGTAAATTTCACCTCAAAAAAAACTAATAGTGAACTGTAGTTAATGACAGGCGTATGTTTGAACATTTACAAAATAAAATATTGAGAAGAAAAAGTGAAGTAAAATTGTACTTTTTGATTCCATGTACACAGAATTCCTGAAATGCAGTTGGTTGAGGCTTCATTGGGATCTGCTTTTATAAACAGACAAGAAAAATGTGTTATGAACACATTTGTTCTCAGTTTCTTGAGCGCTCCTATAAACAAAGGGCTGTGGAATAATCAATCAGTAAGAATCAGATGTTTTCCCTGCCTTCTGGAAACTTGCAGCCTAACGAAGGATATGATACAAACATACAAATGATTGAATGCAGAATTTGATACATCCTCTAAGAGAGGTACAGACGTGCTGGGGTGTTGTTCAGTAGAATAAGCGCATATTAGGTTTGAGGAGCCACGGAGGCTGCATGAAAGAGGGGTATCTTAAAACAGCAGGACAGAGGGCATCACCAAGGGGGCGGAAGGATATCCAAGGTGCAGGAGTCTGTGTAGATGTTTAGAGTGATGTGAAAAAGAGCTAGAAAGGTAGGACCAGGGCCTTGAAAACCAATTTTGGGTTTTATTCAATAGATAGGTAGGAGACATCATGTCTTTCAGTGAGGTGGGAAGTGAATGCTTTAACATTGTGTTATTTTGTTATTTTTAATTGTTTTTGAGACAGAGTCTTGCTTTGTTGCCCAGGCTGGAGTGCAGTGGTGTGATCACAGCTTACTGTAACTTTGACCTCCCGGGCTCAAGGGTTCTTCCCACCTCAGCACCCCCTGAGTAGCTGGAACTACAGTCACATACCACCACACCTAGCTAATTTTAAAATTTCCTGTAGAGGCAGAGCCTCACTTTGTTTCCCAGGCTGGTCTTGAACTCCTGGGCTCAAGCAATCCTCCCACCTCGACCTCCCCAAGTGTTGGGATTACAGGCGTGAGTCACCATGCCTGGCCAACATTCAGTTATTCGTGTGATACTTAGAAATGCAGGACTTTCAGGTGGGACCCTGCCCCCTCAGCCTCCTCTCCCCTTCACTGTGAGGCTTTATTTCAGACACATCCTCTTGGTAGAGGGCCCAGGCTGGCACTTTAATTTGAAGGAGTTAGACTAGAGGCTCTCCACAGTTCTTTCAGCTCAGCATTCTATGATCTGATGGCTGCTTGAAAGAGTTGTTTCTTGCACAGATTAAATATTTCCTCTTGCAGTATTATTTTGCTCTGTTAGCCAACTCTTCTTCATAAAGTCTGGATTGTACTGTAAGATATACAGTAATACAGATTCGATATTCAGAGTGTCAGAACTCATGAGCTGTTGCTGTGTGGTGATGTTGTTTTTCACAGCTGTAACATTTTAAGCTATTGAACTTTCACGTTATGAAAAAAATGACTGTGCTGTTAAGCTAGATGGGGGCTATAGGGGGAAGCTTACCAAGTTTCTCATGAAGACCTAGTAGTTCTGCACATGTCGCAGGTAAGTCTGGATAATCCCAATTTATTTTACTTATTGATTTTTTTCCCAATTTAAAATGATACTCTTCACAGAATGCTTACGTCATTCTGCTAATTTCCAAATGCAAGTAGGATGTTAAAATTTTATGGGACAGTATAATTTCATTTCTTGAAAAGAAAATCTCTTACTGTATGAGTTTTTAGCCATCTTTCTATTATCTCTGATGTAGTAAGTGTGTTAATCTTTGTCTCAGAAATAAAAATCCCAAACAATGTATTGAACCATTGGGTGAGCGGTGAAAAGTTAACTTTTCATCTCTAAACATCCAGGCCTAGATGGACATCTGCTTGTGTGAAGAGTGAAGGCAGGATGCTGGAAAATTGTTATTTTCAGACCACTAGGGTCAAGCATCAGAAGTGAGAAAGGACTGATAAGCTGAAAAAGTTGTACGATATGGGAATGCAAACTTTTTGTGAGAAAAACAGAAAGAAAAGTAGCACAGAGCACTGCCATTAGTAAGTTTGCCATTGCCGTTGTGTGTGATAACTGGCTTAGACTTAGTTCCGGAAATCCAAGTGTGATTATTTTTGGAGTGCCGGTTATACACTAGAGAGCTCTGTCATAGAGAAAATGTGTTTATCTTTTATTCACTTTTCATCTTATTAGGGAGAAACCATGCCCTGACCTCATAAAAAGCATTTGAACACAAAGCCACAACTCTTCAAGTGCCTCGTATATTTGTCATCTGAGAACTGGGCAAAGATGGTCAATATTCACATTTATTGCCGGAATGAGTCCAGAGTAATTTCAGAAGCACCAGGGTGTTTTACAAAGAAGGTCTTCTGTCAGGGAACCCCAGAATGAAAGATCTCAGATCAGAGCTGCTTCAAAGAGGTAAGGATGTACCCCTAGGCCCAGGCCCCAGTGAGAGGAGAAAGGTACTTCTTCGTGTTAGCTGGAAAATGAAGAGTGCTGCATCAGAGACTTTCTTCCATTTTAAGAATACTGTACTGAAATGTATGCTTTCTGGCTGTTAGCAGACAGCATGTTTAAAAGCCACATATCATGTCCAAATAATAGCAATATTAGGTTGGACCACGTTAAGTTGCTGTTTTGCAGGTAAAGAGAGTTCAAATATTAGCAATATCACATGGTTTAACCTAGCAATAGTAATAATAATATTACTAGTGCCATCTATTGAGTGCTTACTACGAGCCCCGTGCCAAGAGCTTTACACACATGATCTCATGTATTCCATTTATAAAATGTTTTTTGTTGCTTGCTTGACTCACATTCTATTTGGTCACTCAGCAGATATTTACTGAGGACCTGCTAATGTGCCAAGTAACATACAACAATGATATACAACAGAGTTCTTGCCCTCATATGCTTTACTATGTAGTGAGGAGGGCAGGCAATCACAAGTGAACCAAAAAATTAATTAATTACAGATTATGTAGGTCTAGGAAAGCTATAAATAGAGAACTGTGATAGAAAATATCAGGGTGGGCCTAGTTTTATGTGTGGTCAGAGAAGCCTCATATCTTATGGGGAGAGATACCATTAAGGAGCATTCTAGGCAAAGAAAACAGCAGGTGCCAAAGCCCTGCAACAGGAAAATGCTTGGCATGATCCAGGAGTCAACAGGATCCCAGTGAGTGAATGAGGAGGAAAGAAACTTGAGATAAACTTGGAAAAGTAAGCAGGATCAGGTCATATATGGAGAGCCATACCAGCCCTTCTGTTTTGGAAAAATAGAGTTTGCAATGTCTGTGGGACTTCCAGGGAGAAGTGCTAAGTAGGCAGTGATACCCTGGGCTGGAACCCAGAAGAGCAGTCTTGGCTGGAGATGTAAACTTGAGACCTACAAGCATATAGATGATATTTAAACTCATGGGAATGGAGGAGCTCACCTAGGGAGAGAGACTAAACATTCCTGAGGAATGCCATCTTTTAAATTGTAAAGTGACTTTTCATGCCTTCAGTAACTAGCCCATCCTAAAGCCAGAGATCATAGGAAATCTATTCCTGTGGGCCAAGGGGCCATGCTGCAGTCTGTAGCACATAACCACTCTTACCCACCACAAGGGTCTGGTTCAAGGAAAGCCCCATGTGCAGGAGCTGCCAACTCATAGCCTGAATTACGACCATCCTGTGGGCAGAGGCAAAAAACAGGAGCCAATCAGGCTGCTTCCTCTAGAGTTTGGCGTTGAGAAACTGAGAGACTGATGATGTGGTGGCAAGTGAGAATTCTGAGCTTAGAAAGTCAGAAGACACGCTCAAACTGAAGGCATGAGGATCAGAGAAGATAGCAGAGAAGAAAGTGAGGAGGCCAGGACATTGCAGATGCTCTCAAAAAAGCAAGGACTCAGAGGGAGCCTTGAGTCCCAAAGACTCTTCAATTGCATTCACAGGCTATGTAGGCAGTTGCAATGGAGTATTGCAAAGTAGGTGTAGTTGTTAAAAGAATGGGCTCTGTAATTATACTTTTTGAACTCCTTAGCTTTGCTGCTTATCTCTAAATAACCTTAGATGAATTAGTTAACTTCTCTGGGTCTCAGTTTCCTCATCTGTAAAATGGAGATAATAATGGTACCTACAAGATTATACTTGTTAAAAGCTTGGATCAGTGGGGAGACCATGAAGTAGGTCATGTCATTCCATTTTCCCTGTGAGAAGACTGAGACTCTGAGAGGTTAAACAACTTGCCTGGGGCCTTTAATCACAATGAAATATTGCCTCCCATGAAAATGAGAATTTTTGTTGCCTTTGAGCTTTATCACTGAATTACACCTTGGGTTAGAACCAAGGAAGGAAGTTCATGTCATCGTCACCATTCTTGAGAGGAAGGCTTGAGTGTGAGCGGGGAGGGAATGGAGCTGGAGATAGTGTAGCTGAGGATGTTACACATCTACTCAAATTGTGAAAATTGTTTGGCCGGACATAAGGCAATAGAATTAGGCTGAGGGAATATCTAATACGAAACATGTATACAACCCCTGAACTGACATTATTCACAACTAGAACTAGCAATTCTTCAAATCAGCTTTCAAGTTTTAGGATAATATTTATAGGAGTTAGTAAGGGTCACATTTTGACAGTGAAGAAAATGTTTGGCTTCTATTGATACAAAGATTTGAAGAAAGAAAGGGAAAGTGTGACAGGTTGTGATATTGTTTGAAAAACTTATTTATAAGGACTTATGGTTATTAAAGGAACTGTAGAAATCTTATGAAATATAGAAAACGATAAAGATAAGTCATCCATAATATTGTTAACCATCATTGGCTTTTTAAGAGCTTTCTTGCCTTTTAATTTCTTATATATGTATATGGATAAATATCATGAGGAGACCATGGAACCTATCTCACATATATAGCTTAATATGCCAGCTGTTTTTTAAGGTACCATGAGAATTTTTACATGTCATTAAAAGTCCTTAGAGAACATAATACTTATTTTTATTATTATTATTATTTTTTTAGACGAAGTCTCGCTCTGTTGCCCAGGCTGGAGTGCAGTGGCACAATCTCGGCTTACTGCAACCTCCGTCTCCCAATTCAAGCAATTCTCCTGCCTCAGTCTCTCTAGTAGCCAGGATTACAGGCACATATCACCACGCCGGCTAATTTTTGTATTTATAGTAGAGACGGGGTTTCACCATGTTGGCCAGGCTGGTCTCAAACTCCTGACCTCAGGTGATCTGCCTGCCTCAGCCTCCCAAAGTGCTGGGATTACAGGTGTGAGCCACCACGTACAGCCTGAGAACATCATATTTAATGACTACAGAATATTAGTAATCATTAGTAGTCTGGGCAGGAAGAGAAATGTGTGAGTTTGCCAGAGTGCCTGATGCTCCCAGCTGGACCTGCTCAGCCCCCATCTCAGGGCCTCTGCCTTTCTGTGTATGCTCCAAAGGGACCTGGGTCCAGGTCAAGAACAGGAAGGGAGAACTCAGATCCACTGATCATGCCAGGGTTCACTCTGGCCTCTGTGTCTGTGCTGTTCTTCCCAGGGGGACAGGCAGCTCTCTGGGAATGGTAGTCCATCTCATTACACAACCCCTCTGCTCCCAGTCACTCCATAAACCAAAAAACCTAGCCCTTCCTCATTCTCCCTTCCTCAGAAACAGAGACACCTCTTTGTGAGTTCCCAAATTTTCTCTATTGTCTAAGGCACTAAAACAGATGAGCAATTAGTGGCTTAGACCTAATAATAGTAATACTTGACCTAAATAACAATGGCTCATATTTATTGTGCATTTACTATGATATGTCATGTGCTTTACCTGCAGCATCTTGTTACTTTGCAGACCTCTTGCTTTGAGAGCAGGAGGTGGTACCATCCAATGGAAATATGCAGAGAAGGCTCTAGAGTTGAACAGACCTTGGTTAGATCTGCAGCTCTGCCATTTACCAGCAACTCTGTGACTTAGGCAGGTGTATGCAACCAGAAAGGTATTGAGCTACACAAAAATCAGAAAACCCAACCACAAGTAGCTTAAATATGTAGGTAGTTATCTTTCTGACATAGTGAGAATTCTGGATGGAATCAGTCCAGGCTGATATGGTGACATCAGGGACTCATCTCTTATCTTCCTGCCTATACTATCCTTGGTATGTGGCTTTCATCTTCGTGGTTGCGAGATGGCTGCTGCATTCTGAGGCCTCTCCTCTGAGGGGTCCAAGCAGGAGGAAAAAGTAGAGAAGGAGGAAGGAGCAATTCCTATTTCAGAAGAGCAAATGCTGTTCTTGAAACTCTCAGCTTATATGTCAGGCCAGGACTATGTCTCATCGTCACCTATCTGTAAGCCAGGGAAAAGCTTTAGGTGGGCACATTGCCATCCCTAAGGAATCAGAGTTCTATTAGGAAGGGAGAAGAGTGCGTGTTTGATGGGTCAGTGGCCATCAGTGTCTATGCCAGCAAGTCATTGCATTTCTTTGAAGCTCAGTTTCCTCTGGTAATAATATCTCCCTATTCTAGTCAGGCTCTTTCAACCTGCAAGAGGTTACCTAGTTTGCCCCAGGGGATGGGAGCTCCTTGTGAAGATCTCTAAGGACATAGGGAAACTTGGTATGGGTCACAGCAACAAATAGTCCGTTTTCCATGGGTCTCTGTACTTCCCAGCAGGCCTGTGGGCACCTCATTGTTCAGGATGTGCCAGGAGTCTTCCTAGGTACCTCCCATCATGCCATCATTTTAGAATTGGGCATCCATGGCTCCCCTCCCTAGGGATTCCTCCAGATGTGGAAAGCTAATCTCTTTGCCCGCTTCTTCCTCTTGTTTCTCCTTCTCTGTCTGTATTCTCACCCCAACTGCTGTCTCTGCTGCTTCTGCTGCATCTCACATTCAAACCCCCCACAAGGAGGCAACATCTTGGGTGGGTCAGTGGCCTCCCACTGAACAACACTGCAGTTAGACAGAGTCTTACACCAGCCTGCCCCAGGGGTCACCGGTCACCCGTTAACTACAGGACACATTGTGGCTGCTTTCCTCAACACAGGCCTGTGGCTGTGGCAAGTGCTCACTGGATCCCACATCCTCTCCAATACGTTACTCAGAGAGTTTCAGATGCACAGTATTGCACAACTCTAGGGGGCAACATCTACAGTGAAAGGTATGTGAGCTGTGCTCCAAGAAACACCGTTCTGAAGTTGAATAACATGGTGGTGCTGGTCCCAGGTGGGCTTCAGTTGTTTGAGACTGTTTGAGGCTCTTTGAGATGGTGGTGGGCTTCTCATTATCTGGCAGCTAGAGAGCCAAGCACAGGCCTTGGCCTACTGGTATACTAAGCCAAGGGTAAGGGCACAGTGGAGAGTATGCGTTCTATGAAAAGATGGAGGAGAGGACTTGGGAAGGGGCAGCCGGTCCGATTGCTGGAATTC